>NC_000003.12:114917695-115220725 GCF_000001405.40 Homo sapiens
TTCTCTTCCATTACTTTCTCCCAAACAGAGTCTCTCTGTGTGAGTGTGCTTAGCTGCCTGGTGCTGGGCTGGGAGAGACATAATACAAGTTCCCCTGTGGCCATCACCACTGAGACTGTGCTGGGTCTGACCTGAGGCCAGCACAGCACTGGGTCTTGCAGAAGGCCCACTATAACCACTATTTGGCTGCTGCCTACATTCACTCAAGGCCCTGGGGTTCTACAATTATCAGTTACCAACACCAGCCACATCTGTGTCCTTTTTTTCATGGCACCGAATGCCCCCGGCCCCAGATGGTTCCAGAGAGGCCCTCTAAGATCCAGGGCCTGGAGTAAGAAACCTTAAGAATCTACCTGGTGCTCCATTCTACTGCAGCTGAGCTGGCACGCAAGCCACAAGACAAGTCTTTTCCACAAGCACAGAAGTCTCTTCTCTTGGACACCACTGCCACAGGCCCATGGGGAGTACTAACAAGCTACTGTCAATGTTCATTCAAGACCCAAAGGTTCTTCAGTCAGCTTGTGGTGAATGCTGCCAGGCCTGGGACTCATCCTTCCATGTGGTGAGCTCCCCTCTAGCCTAGGGAAACTCCCCAAATGCCATTCAAGAACCAAGTCCTGGATTCAGGAACCCCAAGAGCCCACTTCCTGCTCTACAACACTATGGCCAAGCTAGCATCTAAGCTGCAAGACAAAGTCCCCTTTTCTCTCCCATCTGTTTTTCTCAAGCAGAAGTAGTCTCTCCCTGTAGCCACCACAGCTGGGAATGTTCTGGATCACACCTGAAGCCAGCATGTTTCAGAGTCTCACTCAATGCCCATGACATGTACTGCCTGGATATTGCTGCTGATTAGGAAAGGCCCAAAGGCTCTTTAGTCAGCAGGTGATGAATCCTGCCAGGGCTGGGTCCTTCTCTTCAAGGCAGCACATTCCCTTCTAGCCCAGAGTATATCTAGAAATGTTATCTGGAAGCTAGTGCCTAAAGTGGGTGCTTCAAGACTCTACTTGGTGCCCTATCCTACTGTGGCTGAGTGGGATCCAAGTTGCAAGACAAAGTCCTGTTTACTCTTCACTCCTCTCCTCAAGTGGAATAAAGGAGTCTCTTTCAGAGCTACCAATTGCATTGCTTGGTGTCAGAGGAGGGGTGGCAGAAGCCCTCCCTTGGCCACCCTGTCTGGTGTCTCACTAGGTCATATGACCCCTGCATCCACTGGCTCCAAGCCTAGCAGAGCACTAGGACTTGCCTAGGAGTTGCAGTCCTTGTGGCTCAGACTGCCTTAAAGTTTATTTAGGACCCCAGAGAATTTTAGCCCATAGTGGTGAAGTTTGTTGATACTTGAGTTCCAACCACTGGGATGGACAATTTCTCTCTTGTAAATCCCTTTTAAGCCTAATATAAAAGATAAAAGACAAAAAATATCAAAAACAACTATAGCTAGAATATTTGTTAATGGATACACAATATAAAAAGGTATAAAATGTTATATCAATAAAGTGGGGGCCTGGGGGAAAAGCAAGATACAGAGTTTTTATATGCAATGGAAATTAAGTTGTTATCAGTTTAAATTTGATGGTTGTCATTACAAGGTGTGTTATATATGCCTCAAGGTGACCACAGGAAAAAACCTCTAGTAGACACAAAAAATAGAGACATGAATCAAAGCAAAAATTGAATAAAATACAAAAGAAGACAGCAAGATTGGAAGAAAGAAACAAAAGAACTACAAAACAGGCCAGGCATGGTGGCTCATGCCTGTAATCCCAGCACTTTGGGAGGCCAAGGGGAGTGAATCATGAGGTCAGGAGTTCGAGACCATCCTGGCCAAGTTCGTGAAACCCCGTCTCTACTAAAAATACAAAATTAGCCGGGTGCGGTGGCAGGTACCTGCAATCCCAGCTACTCGGGAGGCTGAGGCAGGAGAATCACTTGAACCCGGGAGGCAGAGTTTGCAGTGAGCCAAGATTGTACCACTGCACTCTAGCCTGGGTGACAGAGCAAGACTCCATCTCAAAAAAAAAAAAGAACTACAAAACAGTCAGTAAACAATTAACAAATGGCAATAGTAAGTCCTTATTTGTCAATAATTACTTTAAATGTAAATGGATTAAATTCTCCAATCAAAATACAAAGAGTGGCTCAACAGAAAACAAATATGTAAAATCCAACAATATGCTGCCTATAAGAGGCTCACTTTAGCTGAAAGGATACAGAGCCAAAAAGTGAAGACATGAGAAAAGATATTCCATTCAAATGATAACCAAAAGAGAATAGGAGTGGTTATAGTTATATCAGACAAAATAGACTATCAGTCAAAATCTATCAGAAGACACAAAGAAGGTCATTAAATGATAATAAAGTGGTCAATTCATTAAGAGGATATAAAAAATTGCACATATACATGCACTCAACATTAGAGAATCTAAATATATAAATTAAATGTTAACAGAACAGAAGGGAAAAATAGACACCAGTATAATAATAGTAAAAGATTTCAATATTCCACTTTCAAAAATGGATAGATCATATAGACAGCAAATCACCAGGGAAACAGTGGTCTTTAAAAGTACTACAGACCAAATAGACCTACAGACATATATAGAACATTCTATCCAACAGCAGTAGAATATACATTTTTCTCAAGTGCACATGGAA
Source organism: Homo sapiens (assembly GCF_000001405.40). Classification (NCBI taxonomy): domain Eukaryota; kingdom Metazoa; phylum Chordata; class Mammalia; order Primates; family Hominidae; genus Homo; species Homo sapiens. The sequence continues at coordinate 114,920,348 of NC_000003.12, forward strand.
CAGTCTCCAAATAGATCAGATGTTGGGCCACAGAACAAATCTTAACAAATTTAGAAAAAACTAAAATTATCTCAAGTATCTTTTCTGACTACATTATAAAATTAGAAATCAATCAAAGGAGAAATTAAAAATGAAAAAATAAAAGTGGAAAAATCACAAACATGTGGCAATTAAATAATACACTTCTTAACAGCCAATGTGTAAAAGAAGAAATCAAAACCAAAATCTTGCATATCTTTAAACAAATGAAAATGGGCACACAACAAGAGGGAAGGACATAACAATGAATGCCTACATTAATAAAAGAAGAAAAATCTCAAACAACTTAACTTCACACCTCAAAAAATTAAAAAAAGAACAAAGTGCACAAAGTCAGCAGTAATAAGGATATATTAAAAATTAGACCAGAAATAAATGAAATAGAAAATAGAAAAATAATAGAAAAGATCAGTAAACCTAAGAGTTCGTTTTTTGAAGACAGATAAATCTTTAGCTAGATTACCCAAGGAAAAAAAGAAAGAAGACTCGAATTTAAAATTTTGTAATGGAAAATGGACAATTAAAATGATAGAACAGAAACACACAGGATTATAAAAAGACTACATTAAACAATTACATTCCAACAGATTAGATAACTTAGTAAAAAATAAGTTCCTAGAAACATATAAGATGCAAAGACTGCATCATAAATAATAAAATTCGGAACAGATTAATAGCAAGTAAGGAGATTGAATCAGTAATAAAAAATTCTCCCATCAAAGAAAAGCCCAGGACTAGATGTCTTTTATTTTTTGAGACAAAGTCTTGCTCTGTCACCCAGGCTGCAGTGCAATGGTGTGACCTTGGCTCACTGCAACCTCCATCTCCTGAGTTCAAGTGATTCTCCTGCTTCAGCTTCCCAAGTAGCTGGGATTACAGGCACCCACCACTACACCCAGCTAGTTTTTGTATTTTTAGTAGAGATGGGGTTTCACTGTGTTGGCCAGGCTGGTCTCAACCTCCAGAATTCAAGTGATCTGCATGTCTCAGCCTCCCAAATTGCTGGGATTACAGGTGTGAGCCACCGTGCCTGGCAAAAGAACTAGATGTCTTGATGAGCGGATTCTACCAAGCTTTAAAAAATTAATGCCCATCCCTCTCAAACAGTTCCAAAATGTTTACAAGAATGACACACTTCCTAACTCATTTCAAGGCCAGCATTGCCCTCATACCAAAGCTGGATAAGAGTGCTTTATGGATATACACCATCAGCAAGCTATCGCAAGGACAAAAAACCAAACACCGCATGTCCTCACTCATAGGTGGGAATTGAACAATGAGAACACTTGGACACAGGAAGGGGAACATCACACACCAGAGCCTGTTTTGGGGTGGGGGGAGGGGGGAGGGATAGCATTAGGAGATATACCTAATGTAAATGATGAGTTAATGGGTGCAGCACACCAACATGGCACATGCATGCATATGTAACAAACCTGCACGTTGTGCACATGTACCCTAGAACTTAAAGTATAATAAATATACACATATATATATATAAAGAGTGCTACAAGAAAAGAAAATTACAGAGCAATATCTTAGATGAATATAGATACAAAAGTCTTCAACAAAGTACCACCAAACCAAATTCAACAGCACATTAAAAGGATCATACACCATGATCAGGTGGGATTTATCTCTGGGATGCAAGGATGGTTCAACATACACAAATCAATAAATGTGATACATCACATTAACACAATGAAGGATAACAGTGCGGGAAAAGCACCTGACAAAAATCAATGCTTTCTTGATAAAAAGCCTCAACAAATTTGGTACAGAAGGAACGTACCTCAACATAATAAAGATCAAATATGGCAATCCCATAGAAAACATCATACTCAGTGGTGAAAAGCTGAAAGCATTTCCTCTAAGATTAGGAATGAAAAAGCATACTCACTCTCACTATTTCTATTAAACATAGTATTGGAATTCTTAGCCAGAGCAATTAGGCAAGAAAAAAATTGGAAAGGAAGAAGTTAAATGGTCTCTGTTTATAGATGACATAATCTTATATGTAGAAAAACCCTGAAGACTGCAGCAAAAAAAGAAAAAAAAACCTGTTGAAACGATATATGAACCCAATAGTTTCAGGATACAATGTAACATACAAAAATTAGTTGCAGTTCCCTACATTAATAAAGAACTCTCTAAGAAATTAAGAAAAAGATCCATCTTAGTCTGTGGGCATTGCTTATTACCTAAGGCTGGGTAATTTATAAAGAGAAAAAGTTTTTTTGGCTCATGGCTTTTCCGGATGTACAAGAAGCATGGCACCAGCTCCTGGTGAGAGCTCAGGCTGCTTCCACTCATGGCAGAAGGTAAAGTGAAGCCAGTGTGTGGAGATTACAAGGCAAGAGAGAAAGAAGAGAGAGCTGCCAGGCTCTTTATAACAATCGGCTCTCATGGGAACCAATAGAGAAAGAAATCACTCAATACATCAAGACATCAAGAAGGACATCAAACCACTTATGAGGAAACTACCCCCACGATCAAACACCTCTCATTAGGCCTGATAGCTAACATTGGGATCAAATTTCAACATGAGGTTTGTGGGGACAGATATCCAAATTATAAAACGATTCCACTTACAATAGTATCAAATACAATAACATACTAAGAAATAAATTTAACCAAGTTGATGAAGAATTGGTACACTGAAAACTCTTAGACACTGATGAAAGAAACTGAAGACAAAAACAAGTGTAAAAATATTGCACGTTCGTGAATTGAAAGAATTGCTATTTTTAAAATGCCCATGCTACCTAAAGCATTTTCAGATTCAATGCAATCTATCAATATTATAATGATATTTTTTACAGAAATAGACAAAACAATCCTGAAATTTGTTTGGAACCACAAAAGATCACAGATAGCCATAGCAATCTTGAAAAGGAACAAAGCTGGAGGCATCACACTCTGTGATTTCAATTTGTCTTACGAAGCTACAGTAATCAAAATAGTTTGGTACCAGCATAAAAACAGACACTTAGGTCAATGGAATAGAATTGAGAGCCCAGAAATAAATGCACACTTGTATGGTTAACTAATCTTTGGCAAGGGCACCAACTATACACAATAAGGAAAGGAAATTCTCTTCAATAAGTGGTTTTGGGGAAACTGGATACTCAAATGCAAAAGAATAAGACTGGATCCTTGTCTTGCACTGTACACAAAAATTAACTCAAAATGAATTAAAGATTTAAATTTTTAATTTAAAAATGTAAGATCCAAAACTGTAAAACAAAGCTCCTTGACATTGGTCTTGGCAAAGAGTTTTTGGATATTGACACGAAAAGCACAGGTAACAAAAGCAAAAATAAAAAAAAGTAGAACTACACCAAACTAAAAACCTTTTTCACAGCAAAGGAAACAAAAACTGAGAAGGCAACCTACTGAATGGGAGAAAACATTTGCAACTATATATCTGATGAAGGGTTGATATTCAGAATGTATGTAGAACTCACACAACTCAATGGCAAAAAAAAATAATAACAATAACTCAATTTAAAAATAGGAAAAAGGCCTGAATAGACATTTTTCCAAAGAAGGCATACAAATGGGCAAGAAGTATATTAAAAAGTGCTCAACATCAATAATCATCAGGGAAATGCACATCAAAACTACAGTGAGATATCACCTCATGCCTGTCAGAAGGGCTAAGAGATAAATATCTGCAAGAATGTGGAGAAACGAAAACACTTGTCCACTGTAGGTGGGAATGTAAATTGGTATAGCCATTATGGAAAACAGTATGGAGTTTCCTAAAAAAATTTAAAATAGAATAATTATATGATCCAGCAAGCCCACTTCTGGGTTTATATCCAAAGGAAATGAAATCAGTATCTTTAAGAGATATCTGTACCCTCATAATTATTGCAGCATTATTCATAATACCCAAAAGATGGAAACTACCTAAGTATCCATCAATGGGTAAAGCGGATAAATGAATAAAGAAAATGTGGTACATATACACAATGAAATATTATTTTGCCATAAAAATAATCAAACCTGTCATTTTCAACAACATGAATGAATCTGTAAGACATTATACTAAGTAAAATAAGCAAGATATAGAAAGACAAATAGTCTGTGATCTCACTTACATGAAATCTTATAAAAAGGTGAATCTCATTGCAACAGAAAGACTGATGATTGCCAGGGGATGGTGGTGGAGAAAATAAGGAGATGTTGATTAAAGGGTACAACATTTCAGTTATAAGTTGAACAAGTTCCAGGGATCTAATGTACAGAATGGGTGGTGAAGAATGTGTGAATTAACTTGATTGTGATAATCACTGAGAAATGTATGCATAAAACAATCACAATGCACACTTTCACTATATACAATCTTTGTCAATTAAATATTTTTAAATAAAAAATAAATAAAATTGTACTTCCGGTTTTTGAGATACTGCTTATTTTTTATCCACTCTTTTTTCTCACTCCTTTTTAGATTAGATAATTTCTATTGATCTATCTTTAAGTTCAATGACTTTTCCTTCAACCCCTCCTCCATTATACTGTTAATCCTACTAATTTATTTATTTAATATAATACATTTCTCTGTTTTAAAATTCCCATTTGGTTCTTCTTTTTTTTTTTTTTTTTTTTTTTAGATGAAGTCTTGCTCTGTCGCCAGGATGGAGTGCAGTGGCGCAATCTCGGCTCACTGCAACCTCTGCCTCCTGGGTTCAAGCAATTCTCCTGCCTCAGCCTCCCTAGTAGCTGGAATTACAGGCACATGCCACCACACCCAGCTAATTTTTGTATTTTTAGTAGAGATGGGGTTTCACCACGTTAGCCAGGATGGTCTCGATCTCTTGACCCTGTGATCCGCCCCCTCAGCCTCCCAAAGTGCTGAGATTACAGGTGTGAGCCACCGCACCTGGCCAATTTGGTTCTTTTAATAATTTCTTATTTCTCTGCTGAGATTTCCTATCTTTTTGTTCATTTCAACCATATTCCCTTTCATCTCTTAAAGCGCAGTTTTAATACCTGCTTTAATTTTTTTGCCTAGTAATTCCAACATGTGGGTGATTTTAAGATTGTCATCTGTTGATTTTCTTTATCCTTAAGAAAGGGTAACATTTTACTGGGTTGAAGTAATTATGGGGTTTTTATTTGTTTGGTTGTTTGTTTTTGTTTTGTTTTGTCTTGAGACGGAGTCTTGCTCTGTTGCCAGGCTGGAGTGCAGTGGCACGATCTTGGTTCACTGCAACCTCTGCCTCCTGGGTTCACACAATTCTCCTGCCTCAGCCTCCCGAGCAGCTGGGACTACAGGCGCCCGCCACCACACCTGGCTAAATTTTTGTATTTTTAGTAGAGACGGGGTTTCACCATGTTAGCCAGGATGATCTCAATCTCCCGACCTCGTGATCTGCCCACCTTGGCCTCCCAAAGTGCTGGGATTACAGGTGTGAGCCACTGTGCCTGGCCAATTATGGGTTTTAACTTAGACATCGTCAATGTTAATTGTGGATACTCCAGACTTGGAGTCCTTAACTTGGACAATGTGTTACATTGAGCCAAAGAGTGCTAATATCTTTGTTCTCATGGGACATTAATTTGGCTAATCTCATATTGAAAAATTTGTGCTTTTTGGATCTCAGTGTGGACTGATTTCAGTCTGCCCTGTGCATGTGCAGTTCAGGGGTCAGACAAAGACTTAAGACAGAATTTATACACACAATATCCCATCTCTGTCTCTTTACTTTCCTATGTTTTTCCTCATTCTCTGACATCCCCGTTCCTTCCCAGAGTTCCTACAGCCTACAGAGAAAGCAAGGGCTTTCTCTTGGAGTTAAATTGTCCCATGTTGCCACTGCAATTGGAGATGCCCTCAGAAAAAGCCTCAGAAATGTGAAACTCACTTCATCTCATGACATTTGCTTAATACAAAGTTTGAACCTCCTCTAATATTTCTCTAGTCTTATCCATTCTCCAAAACCTTTACAGAGTTGTATTGTGTTTTGTTATGCTTTGCTTTTATTTTTGGTTTTTGTCCAGAGTTTATAGCTACTATCTGCAGGCTGGTTGTTTTTTTGGAAGTTTATTTCTCCACACAAGAAGCAAAACTCTTGTATTATTACTAATCCTGAGAACAGAAGGTTACAGAGAAACAGAAAACAGAAGGCTTTAAAAAAGTACCAAGAGATACAAATAAAAATTGAATAAAAAACAAACAAACAAAAAACTAGAAAAATGTCTCCTGCTTCTAGGAGAGGGCTGAACAAAGGCAGATGAAGAGGCAATAAAGTAGGTAATAAGTACATTTACAGAAATATATGCCATCAAATAGGTAAGAATGCAAGTAAAATTTATATATAACAAATACCCAAAAGTTTTGGAAGCAGAAAAAATGTTAGTCAATAGTTCATATTGTCTAACAATCAATCTGTCACCCAGGCTTTGTCACCCAGGCTGGAATGCAGTGACGTGATCATAGCTCACTGAAATTTCAAACACTATCCTCCTGAGTAGCTGGGACTACAGGCATACACCACCACATCTGGCTAATTTTCTATTTTATTTTTTGTAGACATACGGTCTCACTATGTTGCCCAGACTGGTCTTGAACTTCTGGGGGCTCAATCAATCCTCCCTGCTTGGCCTCCCAAAGTGCTGGGATTATAGTGTGAAAGGAAAATAAATCTTGGGGCCCAAAATCACTAAGCTAAAGGGAAAAGTCAAGCTGGGGACTGCTTAGGGCAAACCTGCTTCCCATTCTATTCAAAGTCATCCCTCTGCTCACTAAGATAAATGCATATCTCATTGCCTCTTTGTCAAGGCTAATCAGAAACTCAAGAATGCAACCATTTGTTTCTAATCTACCAATGGCCTGGAAGCCCCCTCCCACTTTGAGTTGTCCTGCTTTTGCTTCAAGTTGTCCTGCCCTTACGAACCGAACCAATGTTCATCTTACATATGTTGATTGATGTCTCATGCCTCCCTAAAATGTATAAAACCAAGTTATGCTCCGACTGTCTTGGGCACATGTTATCAAAACCTCCTGAGACTGTGTCATGGGCATGTGTCCTTAACGTTGACAAAATAAACTTCCTAAATTGACTGAGACCTGTCTCAGATTTTTTAGTTTCACAACAGGCATGAGCCACCATACCTGGCCTCAAAAGTTTCAAAACCAACACTCTTCATCAGATCCCAGAACCAAAGAAGGAAAAAACAATTGAAGAATTTATGTCCACAGTTATGCCAAGATTTACACTAATGCATACCACATCTCAAAGATTGAAGAACTCTCTCAAGAACTGGCAATAATTAAGTTTCCAACCAAATTATATTTTCTAAATTAAAAATAAGCACACATCCAAGTGTAAAATTTAAAAAAACCTGAAGCTAAAGCACATTCACCTTATAGATAAAAATATAGTCCATACCTCTCTATTTTATAAATGCATTTTCAGACTTGATGCATTATAGGACATGGTAACTTCAAACAGCAAGGAAAAAACTCTTATTTAAAACTCAGTAAGAATATAATCTCTGTAAGAAAATTATCATTTTAAATAATTTCATTAAACTGTTTTCTCCTTTGATATACCCCTGGATGTAACACTATTAGGTTATAGTGAAAAACACCCTCAATTAACTCTCAAAAAGTATGGTTCCACCATTAAGCTACTATGAGACTTTGGACAGGTCCCTTCACCTATCTAGGCTTCAGTTTACTCATGTGAAATGTGAGGCTAGAACATATGGTTTCTGCTTTCCAGGTGTAAAATTCTATAACTACATAACTTTATCCCTTCGTTTCATGCAGTTTTATCTCCGTCTTCCACTTCTGTGTCTTCCTGGCTGGAGTAGCTTTATCTGTCGTCTGAGGCATCCGGGGCACACCCCATCATTTCAGGCTTAGCCGTTTCTAAGTCGAAGGCTGCAGTCACTGAGGGCAGCCTCAAGGTTCTTCAATGATGGAGAACCTCAAGGTTCTTCAATGATGGAGAACCTCAAGGTTCTTCAATGATGGAGAACCTCAAGGTTCTTCAATGATGGAGAACCTCAAGGTTCTTCAATGATGGAGAACCTCAAGGTTCTTCAATGATGGAGAACCTCAAGGTTCTTCAATGATGGAAAGATTCTTGTTTAATTTCTAAAAAATAAATTTGGCAAATTCCTCAGATCTCAGGCCCAAAGAAAATATTTCAGGAGAGATACATTATGCCTTTCACGCAAGTGCAAAAAAATTAAAAATGTAGACTCCCACACACAATCTCAAGCAAATCATCAACTGACATCTGATGTTGTCTTACCTACAGAGTTAAGAAGCTTGTTTACATCTGTACTTCAGGTGAGTGAGATAATTTTGTGAATGGTAGGTTAAAAGTAATTTCAAATTTGAGAATTAAGCAATGAGAAATGTGCTGTAAATTTCAAGAAAAAGATGCTGCAATACTGTTTAGGATTCTGAGAACTTTAGATCTATCTTCTTATAAAAACTTCCACTTAGAAACAAAGAAATAAACAAAAACCAGGATAAACAATACAATGCTCTTTCCAACTTGCTGGAATTACATTCACTCAGATAAACATTTATTAAGCACTTAGTTGGTACAAGGTGTACTGTCCTCTGTGAGACACACACTCATAGAAAAGAATTTTGTATCTGCTTTAGTGAGTTTATAATATGCCAGAATAAATACATACTAAAAGGCATATATACATAAATAATATAATGCATTGCAGGAAGAGGTAAGTACTATGATAGAGGGACACAGAAAGTCCTGTGCCTCAGGCCTTGCTCCCTGCAGGGCACTAAGCTATTTCGAATCACACTGCAGGAGGTGGCCAACTACACAGTATGCAGTGCATCAGTGCTATCCAGGGAAGAAAAGACTACTACATGGTTAAGAGAGCCTGAAAAAACAGAAGCAGAGAGGTGGACCTAGAAAACTAGCAGTCGGTTGAAGGTCAATATGTTCCTACCTGGAAAATAGGGTCCAACTACTGGGCAGAAGGCCAGGACCCAAGGGTGATTCTGTGCAACTGGGGGAGGTGAGAAAGGAGAGAAAGGAAGTGAGTATTCTGCTGTGGGAAGAAGGGAATTCCAAGATGACAACACAGCAAGAGCTTAACTATAGATGAAGGAATTCTGAATTTCTTCTAGTTTCCCATCTCATGATCATGTCAATATAAAAGGAAATTACTATAAAATGTAATAATTTCTACCAGTCTACAGATTCTGGCAGGCTAAATTAAACCTGAAGATAAGGACAAAATTACATTCCAGTTCCTACTTACAACTTCTATCACATAAAGAGGTACTTACATAGTTCATATGTGCAAACTGAGTTGCATGCTTTCTAAATCGTTTTATTTAATTGTGAAATGTTTGGAATTGGGTGTCACTGGTCTTCATTTTGTTTTGAAAAGGCAATATAAGTGAATTAATCTATCATCAGGCTAATAACAAGAATAAGTATTTTAACTCCTTCCTTTGAAATGAAAAGACAAATTCTTTAGCCAAGAGCTTCCAAGTTTAATTTACGATTCACAAAATTCTACAAACATAAATTATATAGTAGAAGTTTCCCTTATTCTTACTTGAATATAACTCTAATCATTTGAATATCAGTTTTAACAAAATGAATAAGAGTACAACAGAGTTCAGATGAAGCTCGTTTCTTGCCAAAATCCATATGAATGCCAAATACCTTCCAAGCACAAATAAATCCTGCCTTCCATTTAAACAAACAAACAAACAAACAACAAACAAAACACCACATTGCCTAAGATTGGGCAATCACTACTAAGTGACTACTAAGTAGTGAGTAAGAGCTAAGGGAAACGGAGCGAACTTTAGGTCACCAGGGCACGGTACACTGAAAAACATGTGCTGCGCTTCTTCAGAAACAAGCTACAACAGCAGAAAGACGAGGTACCTTATATCTTGTTTATAAATCTTACTTTATAAAGGAGAAAAAAATGAAAAAAGGGAAATAATATTCCCTTATATCCTATTTTGTGCTAGGCACTTAGACAATGTTTTATTATTTAATTGAAACTTGAGTTCAATCGGTAGCAGGAGCGGCGAGCGGAACCCAGAGAGCCCTGAGCAGCCCCACCACCGCCCCCGGCCTAGTTACAGTCACCCCAGAAGGAGCCACAACCCTGCAGCCAGCAGGTCACCATCACAGCAACCACAACCCTGAGCAAAGACGCCAAGGCAGCCAACCCCAAGCCGGCACCACCTGCAGCGGCGCAGGGAGCAGTGGCAAGGGCGACCTCACAGGCGGCGCCTGCTGATGGGGATAAGATCACCGCAAGGAAGATTTTGGGAACAGTAAAATGGTTCAATGTAAGAAATAAATGGTTTCATCTATGCGAATGGCACCAAGGAAGATGCAGTTGTACAGCAGAATACCATACAGAAGAGTAACCCCAGGAAGTACCTTAGCAGTGTAGGACACGGAGAGACTGTGGAGTTTGATGATGTTGCAGCAGAAAAGGGTGGGGAGGCAGTAAATGTTACAGGCCCCTGTAGAGTCCAGTTGATAGCAGTAAGTATGCAGCTGACCTTAACCATCATTGACGCTATCCATGTGGTCCTCAGGCAATTACCAGTAGAATTACCAGAATAGTGAGAGTGGAGAAAAGAACGAAGGACGGGAGAGTGCTCCCTTAGGCTCGGCCCAACAATGCCGGCCCTGCTGCAGGCGAAGGTTCCTGCCTTACTACAGGCAGAGACCCTACGGAAATTGACCACCATATTCTAACCCTCCTTGCAGGGAGCAGCGACGGAGGGTGCTAACAACTGGGGTGCAGGAGCACAAGGTAGGCCAGTGAGGCAGGATATTTGTATGGTTTATAGACCACGATTCCTCAGGGAACCTCATCGCCAAAGCCAGCCTAGAGAGGACGGCAGTGAAGAGAGTAAAGAAAATCAAGATGAGACCCAATATCAGCAGCGACCTCAACATCGGTGCTGCTAAAACCCCAATTATCTATGTAGACTCCCAGAAAACCCTAAACCACAACATGGCAAAGAGACAACAGCAGCCAGTCCACCAGTCAAGAATTCTGCACCCGAGGCAGAAGAAGGTTGAGTAAATGCCGGTTTACCATCTCCACCATCATCCAGTTTAATCATCCAACAAGAAGAAATGAATATGAAATTACAGCAATGAGAAATGCAGGAAAGAAATGCTGAAGACCTTAAGTGCTTGCTTTTTGCCCATTGATCAGAAACCAGAACTACCTGCATTATCTACGAAGCATGGGGTTTTTAAAATTATTTTTACCTACAGACATGTCTTTTTGGTAATAACAAAGGTTTTTATTGTTGTTGTTTTTGTGTGTTTTTTTTTTAGTTTGGTTTTTCTCAACATGCCTTTAAAAGCTTTTAAATTGGTTCATATGTCAAGTTGAGATTTTTAAGCACTTCACTTTTAATTTGTAATAAAAGTTTACAACTTGATTTTTTCAAAAATGTCAACCAACTGCAAGCACCCATTGAAAGTCTTAAATAATACAAAAACTTTAAATTAAATCAAATGGGTATTAACACCATATAATACAAAAAAGAAGTGAGGTTCGAAAATCCTTATGCTTTTGTGATGCCACACGTCACCTAACTGGTAGCACAACTTGATTGCAATCTGACTCTGAAGCTTTTCTTCATTCCTAGACATCCTATTTTTGTTGAAGTCCTAGATTTTAAAAGTATAATTTTTTTAGGAATAAAGATCTGGTAGGCAGGAAATTCTGCTGAAGCTGTTTCTGGGCAACTTGACTTTGCCAGGGCCTTTGCACTGATTGTGTTAATGGCCACCTCCTCTTCAGATGTAGGGTTATGGATCACCTGTAACCACCTGTAACCTGTACAGCAAGCTGAAGGAGTGTTTGCCTAATATCCAATCCACAGAATTTATTTCAAAAATGGTGAGCCTCACTAAGGTGATAGCAGTAGCCTGTCCACAGGCTGATCAACAAAATCTTGTCTTTGATCCATGGTTTCTGCTTCTTGGAGTCTCCCAAGGTACATTCTGCCACTGCTGGACCTAGAATCATAGTCTCCTTTCCTACCAGCCTTCTCACCCTGCCAAACTTATCATATACAATTGTTTGACATCACAGATATTATCAATCCCTAGGCCTCTCTAGCTTTCTGCTCTTGCAATTTCTTTTACATTGTCTTTGTCACCCAGCACAGAGCCCATACATAAGTCATCACTCTATTTTCTTAGAAATACTTTCAGTTCACTTCTTGGTTTTCCTATCTCACTTACCAAGCTGTCTTAGTACAGATCTAAGATGAGAATTTTAGTACAAATAATTTATTTTGGAAACAACCCCATGAAACACTGGTAAGGGAGAAAGGATGGAAGGCAGAAAAGGGAAATAAGATAGAATGTTTGCAAAGATAACCATCAATAGTTCCTCAAAGCCTTGCTCTAGCATGCTGCTCTTCCCATCAAGAGGCAGAGTTTGTTTCCCCCACTCTTGAATCTGCACTGACCTTGCACCCTTTTTTTGAACAATAGATTGCAGCAGAAGTGATGCTATGCTAGTTCTAAGCCAAGGCTGCAAGAGTCCTGGCAGCCTCTTCTTTTGCTTTCCTTAGATGCAGATACCATGTAAAGACGCTCAGACTAGATTAGTGAATGATGAGAAGCAATGGGGAGAGACAGGCCCAGACAGACCCCAGCCATTCTATACATTGCACTGAGGCCTAAAACCCATAAGTAAAGCCATCATAGTCATTCCTGACCCAGACAGGCTTCCAGTCAAGTGCAACTACATGAGTGACCCAAGCTATTACTAATCTAAGCCTGGGCACCCCAAAGATTTGTAAAAAATAACAAATCTTTGTTGTTTTAAGTCCCTGTATTTGGGGGTAGTTTGTTACACAGCCATAAATGAAACAGGGACAAAGCCAAAAAAGGGTACAATTATTAAACAAGTTACTGCTATGGGAAATGAGTTTAGTCCTTCTGGGATACTCTGGAAAACAGTAAAGAACATGCCTCACAGTTATCCCATGTGAAGGGTAAGGATGATAGTGTAATCCACCCACTTGCTAACAGTTATTTGCTTAAGTCTTTTTCTAGTGACAGTAACTATTTGGTACTTTAAGCCTGCCCAACACTGTGAGCCAAATCTGCTCAGCAGCCACACACAAAAAATGCCTTCAGGCAGACAGTCACAGTATCAGGAATAAGCAGTCTTCTGTGACAAGAGGTGAGTGGTGGAAGGAAACAGGAAGAGCGTCAACATAGGTGAAAACCCAGGCCTAGAGCAGTCCAGCTATCTGCTTTCTCCACTCCTAGAACTGCAACAGCTAAAGTGGGTCACATACACTCACAGATTATAACCACTACACATCTACAGCTCCCAAACTTAGCTGGGTCCCAAATGTTACTTAATAATCCTTCCAAGTTTCCCTAATCATCTGTTTACTTTAGTATATTTTACATCTATTTCAAAACTTCCCACTTTTATTAAATCTTCTATTCCACCTACCCCTCCCCCTTCGGTATCAGCAAAGCAATATGCTCTCTATCCCAATGAGAAAATAAAGGTCATCAGATCAATTTTTTGCTACCTCCATTGCACTGCATTCAGAATCATCCTTCCTTCCTTCCCTACTAATACCACAGGAAAGGGTCAAGGTAAATGCAGCATTAATCCAGCACCTCTCCATCTCTGGAATACCCCACCTTAGAATACAAGAACCCATTATGTACTTGCCCTTTTCTGTCTCTCTTAGGTCCCTAATGCATGAATCTCATCGAGTTATAGATCTGTTGAAACCCTACACCTATGGATCTTTGCACCAAGCATTGTTCCTACTGCCTAAAATGTACCTTCCCCAACTTTCCCCATTTCTAGACTCTGCCCTGGCAGAGTCCTCTTCATCTTTTAGACCTCCACTTACCTGCGACCTCTTCAGGAAAGCCTTCTTTACTTTGCTGCCCACGATTCCTCAAATCTATGCTTACCTCTGCCACAGCACTTTGCTCTTTTCTGAAATCGCTCATTCCTTTTTCTGATATCCTTTTCCTCCTCCTTTACCTCCCACTGAAAATAAGCTCCTCCAAATCAGGTATTTGCCTTATATATTTTTGAACCATAGTATCTGTGCCTAGAACATAGCTGTGGATTAACAAATAGCACCAAATTTAAATAAATTAATTAATCATCTCTTTTCCTTAAGTTACTTTCCAGAGTAACTTTAGTGGAAGCTGCAGGCAAGATTTATGTGTACTGTGGCCCTTCCTCTTTCTATCTTTTTTTTTCTTTTTAACATTCTAAGAGGTATCATACAGGTCATGATAAACTGAGTCTCTTCTAAATTTGCATATAGTGAAAAATAACACGTCAAAATGCATTTGCTTAGAAGCTCAGGAATCCATTGTTCAGTTAAAACTTGTTGCCTTGTTATAATGTTATGACAAAATAGGCTTCCATACTGGCTTTTAACATATAATTGTTAATTATCATCACAAAAGTTTCAAAATTTCTTCAGTTTTAAAAAGATTTTCATAAGTAAAAATGCATACAGTACTTGTATACTCACAGTGAGCTTATTTAATAATATGTTTGTAGAATGTAAAATAGCTTTCTGTTTTATGGTCAGATTTGATAGGCCTATCAAAATTGGTTTTTATAGATATGATTGCTACTTTCATCAAAAAATGAACCATCAACTTTAAGAGAAATGAAAAAATCAATTTGGGTCATGGTAACTTCTAAGCCCTACTACCTAGTCCTAGAATTTGTTCTTAATAGACCAGACTGTCTGCAAAATACTTTGAAACAAAGAATGTGTACTTTGCCTCCTCCCTACCATGTTCTTGGCAACTAGGGAATATGGGACATTTTAAGTCTTTAAGATAAAATTAATCACACTGATTTAGAACAACTAAAATCTTGTCAGAGTAATTCCTACCTTCTCCCTTCCCCACCATGTTACCTTTAGGAAGAGGAGACACACTTGAGGAAGCTCTTCAAGGCTGGTCTTCAGGGAAATAAAGACATTGAAATTCCACTCCAATTATTTTTTATTACCTGCCACCTTGAATCCAGAATATATGTTACATTATGAAGTGTCGTATTCTTGACTCAAAACATCCTTCCAATTAAGATTTTCTTTTTTAAAAAAAATTAGGTTAAAGCAAAAATGCAGAAAAGAAGGGTAAATAAGATTAGTAAACCATCTGAAAATTACTGCATTTTGTAAACTTTGGTAAAATGTATGAAGAAGCATGTTTTCCAGTCTGCTTTCTCGGCCTGTGGATACCTGGGACATAATTCAGTTTGCCATCCCCTGTTCCCAGATCAGCTCAGTCTTTGTTCAGCTCCATCTTCAATCTGGCATATAATTACTTCTTCAGCTCCTGTGCTATTTGGTTTTAAGCACCTCTTACCCCCAAGGCCTCATGGCTCTAAGGGCTTGTTGAATTTAAACAAGCACATTTAAATCTTTGTCTTTAAATGAGTAAAATAAAAGTCTTAACACCTAACACAGAGTACTCTTCTACACTCTAAATGTGCATGTTATAATTGCCTACCAGATCATAATGAGCATCTATCCATCCTCAAAATCAGAGAAAGGGGGGCTCATTCTAGAGGTAAATTTACAATAAATGGCTTTATTCTTGATTAGCTATGTGTGTTTGGGGACACAGAGACTGGCACCTGCATAATTTAAATACCTGATAGGAATCAGATGATCAGGACACCTTGGAAATAAAGGTGGAAAAACAATAGTGGAGGAAACACAATAATGGAGGAAATACAGAAGAAAAAAAACAAGATTGTTAAAAGAAATTAATAAAATACAACTTAAGGAATTTTAAGCTTCACCTCTCATTGGAAAAACACTGCAAACTCATACACACACTGATGCATGCACACATGCATGCACGCACACATGCATGCGCACACACACGTATGCAATATAATTACAGAAATGTTAAAACTGTCTGTCTTTCCTGAGAGTCAGGAGATGTGGATTCTGCCACTACTGCTGCTGGCAAATCATAAATACCATCCAGGGTTTTAGTTTAGCCTGAGTAAATGAGTAATCATTACATTTGTTCCACATACATACTTTACTCCAAACACTGGTAGATAAGTATTGAATGAGACCCTCATTCAAATACACGGTCAAAAATGCCACAAAAAGAAGTATTATAATTATAACTATTAATTATAAGTAAAGTTTTTTAATGAATGGATAAATTAGTAAAACAAATTTTAATAGATATAAATGGAAAACAAAGCATGTGCAATCTCACTAGTGATGAAGGTAATAGAAATTTTAAAAGTGAGATACTAGTCTTTCACCTATCAGATCAGTTAAAGTCAATAAAAGAAAAATTCAGTGTTGGAAGAGGCACTGCAGTGGGAGTGTACATTAGTACCATTAAGCACTATGTATCAAGGGCCTGAATCATGATTATGTACTGTGCCAGTTTGGGTCCTCTTGTGCCAAGGTGAATTGGGTATGTGAGATAATTATTTGGGGTAGAATCTATACATGATAAAGGGGAAGAGGTGTAGGTAAGGAGAGCACTCAGACTATGATGCAATTCTGACATCTCTGAAAGGAGAAAGGCAAGGAAGCATTTGGTAGGAAGAGATCTGCATGCAGGAAAGTCCTGAGAAAGTCTCAGCCAGGGTTGGTTCCAAGTCTTTGTTATTGTGAATAGCGCTGCAATAAACGTATGTGTGCATGTGTCTTTATAGCAGAAGGATTTATAATCCTTTGGGTATATAGCCAGTAATGGGATTGCTGGGTCAAATGGTAGTTCTGGTTCTAGATCCTTGAGGAATCGCCACACTGTCTTCTACAATGGTTGAACTAATTTACACTCCCACTAACAGTGTAAAAGCGTTCTTATTTCTCCACATCCTCTCCAGCATCTGTTGTTTTCTGACTTTTTAATGGTCGCCATTCTAACTGGCTTGAGATGGTTTCTCACTGTGGTTTTGGTTTGCATTTCTCTAATAACCAGTGATGACGAGCTTTTTTTCATATGTTTGTTGGTGACATAAATGTCTTCTTCTTCTTCTTCTTTTTTTTTTTTAGATGGAGTCTCGCTCTGTTGCCCATGCTGGAGTGCCGGGGCGCAATCTCGGCTCACTGCAACCTCCGGCTCCCGCGTTCAAGTGATTCTCCTCCCTCAGCTTCCCAAGTAGCTGGGACTACAGGCGCATCCTACCACATCCTGTTAATTTTTTGTATTTTTATTAGAGACAGAGTTTCACCATGTTAGCCAGGATGGTCTGGACCTCCTGACCTCGTGATCAGCCTGCGTTGGCCTCCCAAAGTGCTGGAATTACAGGAGTGAGCCACTGCGGCCAGCCGTAAATGTCTTCCTTTGAGCAGTGTCTGTTCATATCCTTCAGCCACGTTTTGATAGGGTTGTTTGTTTTCTTCTTGTAAATTTGTTTAAGTTCCTGGCCGGGCACGGTGGCTCACGCCTGTAATCCCAGAACTTTGGGAGGCTGAGGCGGGTGGATCACAAGGTCAGGAGATCAAGACCAGCCTGGCTAACACGGTGAAGCCCCATGTCTACTAAAAACACAAAAAAATTGGCCGGCCGTGGTGGTGGGCGCCTGTAGTCTGGGACTACTTGGGAGGCTGAGGCAGGAGAATGGCGTGGAGGCAGGAGAATGGCGTGAACCCAGGAGGCGGAGCTTGCAGTGAGCCGAGAACGTGCCACTACACTCCAGCCTGGGCAACAGAGTGAGACTCCATCTCAAAAAAAATAAAAATAAAATAAAATATTTAAGTTCCTTATAGATTCTGGATATTAGCCCTTTGTCAGATGGATAGATGGCAAAAATTTTCTCCCATTCTGTAAGTCGCCTGTTCACTCTGATGATAATTTCTTTTGCTGTGCAGAAACTCTTTAGTTTAATTAGATCCCATTTGTCATTTTGGCTTTTGTTGCCATTGCTTTTGGTGTTTTAGTCATGAAGTCTTTGCCCATGCCTATGTCCTGAATGGTATCACCTAGGTTTTCTTCTAGGGTTTTTATGGTTTTAGGTCTTACGTCTAAGTCTTTAATGCCCATCAATGATAGACTGGATAAAGAAAATGTGCCACATATACACCATGGAATACTATGCAGCCATAAAAAGGATGAGTTCATCTCCTTTGCAGGGACATGGATGAAGCTGGAAACCATCATTCTCAGTGAACTAACACAGGAACAGAAAACCAAACACCGCATGTTCGCACTCATAAGTGGGAGCTGAACAATGAGAACACATGGACACAGGGAGGGGAACATCACACATTGGGGCCTGTCGGGTGGTGGGGAAGTAGGGGAGGGATAGCATTAGGAGAAATACCTAATGTAGATGACAGGTTGATGGGTGCAGCAAACCACCATGGCACATGTATACCTATGTAACAAACCTGCAAATTCTGCACACATATCCCAGAACTTAAAAGTATAATAAAAAAAAAATTCTAGAAAAAGAAGTTGCATCTGTACTGAACATGTACAGAGTTTTTTCCTTCTCATTATTCCTTAAACCATACAAAAAAGAAAGTCTCAGCCATGTTGGTAGGGAGTCCCTGAACCAGAGTTACCCATTAGAAGAATCTAGTATTGGGCAGAAATGTCCCCGTTCTGGTATTCCTGACATGTTCAGTCACTCGGTGGAAGCAGCCCCAAAGAAGGATGGTTTCAGGGTGAATGTTGTGGTGGATCCACAGGTATAGCAGCTGGAGGCTGTCAATTATCTATGCTCTCTACAAAAGCTCCTCTTGAAAACAGAGCTGAGAAAGACACTTGTATACATATGATTTTATTCCCGTTCTAGGAATCTATCTCAAGGAAGCAATCTAAATACCAAAATAATAATGATAAAGAGCTTTATGAACAAAGATGCTCATCGCAGTCTTTTAAAAAATAATTGAAAGGATAGAAACAATTTAAATGTCCAAGCATAAGGATTGATTAAGCAGCTATAGTATGTCTACTTTACCAAAAATGCTGTGGCTATTACAATGGAAAACTTATATTTTAAGTAAAATTGAAAATAGAGATAAAATATGGTATAACTTTTAAAATTAAAAGCTTTGAAAAGATACATATTTTAAGACTGGCAGAAAATAAACCAATATGGTAGTAATAGGAAGTTTTTTTGCATTTTTGAATTTTCCAAATTTTCTTTATTAAAATTTATGACCTTTAGCTGAGGGAAGGAAGCATTCAAAATAAAAAGGCAAAAAAGCAAAATAGTTAAAATGATTTAGAGTCGAAGTAAGCAGGGGAAATATGAAGCTATAGAAGAGAAAACAAAGAAGACAATAAAAATATCTGAAGAATACTGTCTTAATAATTCTGGGACTAGGTGTGGTGGCTCACTCCTACAATACCAGCACTTTGGGAGGCCCAGCCAGGAGGATTACTCGATGAGCCCAGAGTTCAAGGCTGTAGTGAGTGATTATTGTGCCGCTGCACTCCAGGCTGGGTGACACACCAAGACCCAGTCTCTAAAAACAAATTCTGGAAAACAGCTTCATGGCTCCAACATAACATTGAACAAAGCCAAAGATGGGAAAGGAAAAGGGAATGTTTTTATTTTCATTGTAGCATTGGGTTTTTAAATGAAAACTGATGTTTCATATGCTCTTCTATGACTATTCAGTATAGGTGTTTCACCATCATTGTAAGGAGTATCTTCTGTGTATGTAAGTATGTGTTCACTAGTGCATTCATTTTTTCAACATGTGATTAAACAGTTTGAGAGTCACCATATGCCAGGTACTGTGCAAGCAAATCAAAGGTCACAGTGTAAAATGAGAAAGGGTATGTTTTGGCCCTCTATTCTAGAATTGTTTATAGAAAGTGCATAATTTAAGCCCATATGTCCCATGTCCTAAAGATACCTGTCCATTAAATACAGTGCATTTCATTGCCTTTTCAGACTCTCTTCACTATGCACATAAGTGACAATGTAATTGCAATTTGATTAATTCATATAAACTAAGAAAGGAGGAATTATTCATTCATTTCTGATTTTTTTTTTTTTGGAAAGTATCCCATTCCTACTATAGTTTGCCAAACCCTCTCAGGGTAGACCTCTATTTACTTAAAAGAACTAGTTTCATAGATTGCTGTCATGCACCCTAATTAGACAAACGTGTTTTCCAGGTCTATTTGAAGGACATTCTGATATAATGCATACCTATCTTCTTAATCTTCTTATTCAGCTTATGCATATTTCTTTTCCTTTAAAATCCATCAATAAATGATCTGTGATCTGTAAGTAATTAATTTAATGATTACATGAATTAAAATAATGCACATTGCTTTAAAGGAGTTAGTATTTTCGGTTTATGTTACAATATTGGCCTTGGGTAAATATCATCCATTGCCTGAATTTCATAATGGTTCAAGGATAAACCATTTCCTCTTTATAATTCAGTAAGTTTGTTCCAAAGGAGCCTATTGCTCCTCTACTCAACAATGAAAGAAATGCATTCAGGGACCTTAGGTTGCCTATTCTTAATAAGATGGAATCCTTTCCCGGTTTGTTAAATTCACTGAATTTATAACTCATTGTTACTGATGAAGGAATTAATCCAAGCCCGTTACCAGATTGATCTCCTAAAATCCACAGAGCGAATTTGGTGTCATTTTTAAAAAGAAATAAAATAACAAAAATAAAAATACAAAGGATGTCAGTAAGTTACAGACAGGAGGGCATACCTCATATTTATCACCTGGAAAACTAGAGAAAAGTTTCATCAAAACTGTTTCATGCATCTGTGCAGGGCTAAAGTCATCTGCTAATCAGCACTAATAATGATGGGGATAACAATAATAATCTGCTACCTTTACATAACAGTTTTTACCTTGGGAAAAGATTTTCACATACTACTCTTCATTTAGTTCTTATAATGACTTTGAGAAACTAACATAAATGTTTTACAAGTCCCATTTTGTGAAAGAGAAAATTAGAGTACAAAGAAGAGACTGACCCAACAATAACATTTAACTGGAGCTAGACTCCTACTTCAGGTTTTTAAAATGCTTTCAAATCAATAGAATTCATGATTTGCAATGTTTTCCTAAATTCTGTTAAAACACACTTAGGACCGTAAATTTTCACCAACCATAACAGACACCTGGTAAGCGGGCATGTAATAAACAATTGAGATGTTAGAAAAAAAGATATGTCTCTGATGAGCAGGGCAAAAGTGAATGTAAGTCAAAAGATATCTAAAGACTCTATAGCTTCTGGAATAATAAATTGGTAGTTTTCTTTATTTTTCATTTGTTGTTTCAGAAAGTGTTTAACTTTTGATACTACCACCAATGTAAAATATAATAGATTGTTAGTAACAATAAATCAATCTCTACGTTGTCCAAATAGGTGTGTTTACCCAGGTCCACACTGTTCAAGTTTTATTAAAACTGTTTCGTTTTATCCAGGTTTCCAGTATTGCATCTCCTAAGACAAACACTGATATTTATCTGCTGATGCTTGTTTTACTAACCAAATATTACATTACACATGGTTTATCACATTACCCAGGGAGGTGACAATATTTCAGGAAAAAAATTAACAAATCAAAATAACTTTGAAAACTGTTTATACCCCATGTACAAAAGTACTGTCTATGCCTAGTTATTCACTACTATCACAAGATATACATAAATCAGAGTTTTTAAATAATACTGACTTCCCCTTATAAATTCCTTTACCCCTTGTGAAAGGAACCTAGCACCATTATGACACAGTTAAGCATTAGTCACAGTTTAATAAATAATTTCGTTATAGCCTCCTAGTCTATCAGTATTATTTGGATTCTCAGAATGCATGTAATCATGTAAATTACAAAATTTCCTTTGTATCAGGGATAACCAACTGTCTTTTATAAATAATGTTATTTTTGGTGATTTTTCAATATCAGAACAGTATAGTTTTGGCTAGAGAAATTACTATAAGCATTCAAATAAAGATTAATCAATTTATACAAGGCAAATAAACTTTTTGTACTCTTAAATACTTAAAGAATAATATATACATTCAAATATTTGTAAGAAATTCATATAGAGGGGAGTATAAAACACATATGGAAAAGGAGGTATGTCTGCAGAAGTTACTTTGTAAAGAAACATAGTGCTCAACTACCACCCTCCCTCAAATATCATGTCAATCAAATTAGCATCATAAGAAGAACTCCAGTTCTACTGTGATAGAGTAGCTTATATCAAATCACCCCCTCGTTGAGAAAAACTATTAAAGATGAATAAAATGAAATTATTTTAAAAACTGTTTGAAGGCACCAGGCACCAACCAAAGTAATTTCAATTTAAAACTCAATAGTCTATAAAGGAAGTAAACACGTTAAAGTAAGCCCTATGTTGTTTATTACTTTTCAAATTCAAGGCATTTGCTGTTTCCTAAGTAGAACAGAATGCGAGACTGAGCACAAAGCTCCAGATTAGAACATTAAGAAGTCTTGTAAAGAGAGGAGGGCACAAATAACACTTTGGAGCTGTCAGCACAGCCAAGACATGAAGAATCAAGATCCTGGATAAACTGTAAATGCAATGAGGTGAGGCCTGTATTCTTTTTCCACTTTTAACCCCTAAAACATTTCCAGTTCCTCTTTCTTGGAGTGAGAAAATCAAAAGAGAAACAAGCAGAAAACAGCAACCTAAATACTAGGACATTAAAAAGAATATTCAGTAGTCTTATACCAACGAAGCAAAAACTGGAGTTTAGTGACTACTTGAAAAGCACTCCAAAATTTTATTTGAACCTCTAAATGACTATTTATAAAACTAAGGGAAAACCATAACTAGAGTAGCCATCACAAAGATGGAAACCCAACTTCAAATTGTCTTAATCCCTGATAAGATTAAGTAAATTACCTTTATTCTAATAATCTGTGAGGAGAAAATTAAATCCCCATGGAAAAATATAATACCATACAAAACACTCTAAATTTTTAATATGAAAAAATCATCAAGCATGCTAGGAAGTAGAATCAAAGAACCAAAACAAAGAGAAAAAATAATAGACAAAAACATAAATTCAAAAATGATACAGATTAAAGAATTATCAGATATAGTCTTTTAAAAACAGTGATAAATATGGTTTCAGAGGTAAAGGAAAAGAGTGAGAATAATCAGAGAACTGGGATTTATATTAAAAACCCAAAGATTATTCTAGAACTAAAAATAAAACAAAATTAATAACTCAATCGCAGCCAGTTAGACACAACAGAAGATCCAAGTTGTGAACTTGAAAATAGGTTAATAGAAAATATCCAGAATAAAACAAAGAGAGAAATAAGGATGATAATAAAAGAAGAAGCATTAGAGATATATAGAACATGGTTAAAAAATGTTTTAACATACAAATATCTCTAGTCCCAGAAGGAAAGGGTAAGGAGAATAGGCAGAAGCAAAATTCAAAGCAATAATGGCCAAGAATTTTCCAAAATTGGCAAAAGCATCAAGCCACAAATTCAAGAATGTCTAAGAACCCCAAGCAGGATAAACACAAAGAAACCAACTACAAAAAAAAAAAAAAAGCCTGTTTGTAAAACTATTTAAAAATAAACAATAATCAAAAAGGCAATCTCAAAATAGCCAGAAAAATAAAAATGCATTACTTTGTAAGGATTAGTAAGTCTGATAACTGATTGCTCATGAAAAACAATTGAAGCCAGAGAACAAAGCCATGATATCTTTAAAATGCTTTTAAAAAGTAACTACCAACCTAAGAAACCCAAACAACAGCAAAAAACTAAATAACCTGATTAAAAAATGAGTAAAAGATCTGAACACACATTTCTCAGAAGAAGACATAAAAATGGTCAACAGATATATGAAAAAATGCTCAACGTTACTAATCATTAAGGAAAAGCAAATTAGAACCACAATGAGATCACCTCACACCTGTTAGAAAGGCTACCTTCAAAAAGTTAAAAGACAGTAAGGGTTGGCAAGAATTTGGAGAAAATGAAACTCTCATACACTGTTGGTAGGAATGCAAATTGGGTACAGCCATTATGAAAAACAATATGAAGATTCTTCAAAAACTACAAATATAACTACCATATGATCCAGTAATTTGACTTCAGGATATATATCCTGAGGAACTGACGTTAGTATGTTGAAGAGATATCTGCTCTCCCACATTCATCGTAGCATTATTCACGATAGCTAAGATACGGAAGCAACCTAAGTGGCATCAGCATAAAAACAGATAAAGAAAATGTGTTAAATACACACAACAGAATAATATTCAGCCTTAGAAAATAAAGAAATCCTGTCATTTACAACAACATACGTGGACCTGGAAGATACTATGTTATGTGAAATAAGGCAGACACAGAAAGACAAATACTGCATGATCTCACTTAAGTGTGAAATCCAAAAAGGCCATAGATACAGGGAGTAAAATGGTGGTTACTAGAGGCTGAGTGTTGGATGGTGATGAAGAAAGGGGAGATGTTATTCAAAAAGCACAAAGTTTCAGCTAGACAAGAGGAATAAGTTTTAGAGATATACTGCACAGCATGATCACTATAATTTATAAGAGTGTATTATATATTTTGAAACTGCTGAAAGTATACTTTAAATGTTCTTACCATAAAAACACGATAATTATTTGAGGTGATGGATGCTAATTAGCTTGATTTATTAATTCTACAATGTAAACATATACTGAACATCACACTGTATCTCATAAATATATATAATTGTCAATCAAAAGTAAAATAAAAATAAAGCAAAACATATATATACACAAAAAAGTAAATACCAACGTAGAATTCTCTAACCAATGAAAGTATTCTTTTAAAAAGTCAAAATAAGAATATTTTCAGAAAAACAAAACTGCGGAAATATTTCACCGAAAGATTCATACTATAAAGAATACTAATAGGTATCTTTCAAGTAAAAGGAAAAGCATCTCAGACAATGATAGAGAAATGCAAAAAATAAAGTACACAGACAAGATTAGTATGCGTATAAGTATAGAAAAATAATAAAAATAATGTTTTAGGAATTAGAGCACTTGAAGAATTATAATTCAGGACAATGATAAGACAAAAAATGAGAGAGGGACAAATATAATTATTCATTGAAAAGAGATAAAAGGTGTAAGTTACAGTAGAGCTCATTAGGGTAACCACTAAGAAAAATTAAAAATACGTAATTAGCAAGTTAAAAGAGGGGCAAATGAAATAACAAGGTTGATTAATAAAAAAAGTTAAGACAGAAGAAATGGGAAACATAAAATTGGTAGAAAAAATAGAAAAGTACAGTAAGATGATAGAATTAAATCAACAAATATTAGCAAGTGCAGTTAATGTAAATTTAAAAAGTTGCATTGAAATACAATGTCAGACTTTGAATTAAAAATCACCATTAATAATATGCTATTTGCAGGACACATACCTTAAAAGTAAGTATACAGAAAATGTGAAAGGAAAAGTGCTAAAAAAAATTTACCAAACACCAACGAAAAGAAGGCTAATATCACTATACATTATAATATCAGTCTAAGTAGAATGAAAAGAAATAGTACAAGAAGAGCATTAAATAATACTAGTTAATCTACTAGGAAGATATCACAGTTCCAAATTTGTACAAACCAATAACATAAGCTTAAAATGTACAAATTGACCAAACTAAAAGGTGAAATAAACAAATACACAATCAAGTTAGAAAATTTTGACATATTTCTCTCAGTAAATGATAGAACTTGGTAAAAAGTTGGTAGATAAATAAAAGTTTTGAACACCAAGATTTAGCAAATTTGATCTAATTTATATGTACAGAATCCTGCACCCAATAGCAACAAAGTACACATATTTGCAGGTGCACATAGAGCATGCACCAAAAGTATCCTTAAACTGAGTCATATAGCAAGCCTCAATAAATTTTCAAAGTATTTATATCATATAGAATATCTTCTCTGACCGTAATTGAATTAAGCTCAAAATTAATAACAAATAAGTATTATAAAATACATCAAATACTTTCAAATAAAGCAATAGATAAACTTGATAAAAGTCAAAAATTGGGGTCTTTTGGTAAAGAAAGACAAATATAAGCAGTAGTCTTCTAGAAACACAAATTTCAAAGATGAAAAAGGACAAATAACCTTAACAGGAATGAAAAAATGGAGTATTGTTACAGATGCTACAGACATAGTACAAAGATAATAAGATCTGGTGAACAAGTTTACATCAATAAACTTGAAAAAATTGATGAAACATATAAATCCCCTGAAAAACACATATTACCAAAATGGACACAAGAAGAAATGGAAATCCTTCATAGTACTACGTCTTTTAAAAGACATGAATATTTGATTTGGAAAACTCTTCTGGACACTGGTCTAGAGAAAGAATTCATTAATAAGACACCAAAAGCACAAGAAACCAAAACAAAAACAGACAAATGGTACTTAATTAAACTAAAAAGCTTCTGCCCAGAAATAGAAATAATCAAGAGTGATCAGATGACCTGCAGAATGGGAGAAAATATGTACAAACTATCAATCAGACAGAGGACTAACATCTAGAACTTACAAGGAACTCAAACTAAATAACAACGACAAAACAAATAATCCTATCAAAACGTGGGCAAAAGACATGAATAGCCATTTTTCAAAAGAAGACATACAAATGGCCAAGAAACATATAAAAAAAAAAGCTCAACATCACTAATCAAAGAAATGTAAATTAAAATCACGATGAGAGATCATCTCAGACTACTCAGAACAGCTATTACTTAAAAAGACCAAAAACAGCAGATCTTGGCAAGCAATTGCAGAAAAGGAAACGCTTATACACTGTTGGTGGGAATGTAAATTACTACAATCACTATAGAAAACAATATGGAGATTTCTCAAAGAACCAAAAATAGATCTACTATTTAACCCAACAATCCCACCATTGGGTATATACCCCCAAAAAGAAATTATTATACCAAAAATATACTTACACTCATATGTTTATCACAGCTCTAGTCACAATAGCAAAGATATGGAGCCAACTTAAATGTCCATCAATGGATGATTGGATTAAAAATGTGAAATATATATGTAATAGGATACTATCCAGCTATAAAAAAGAATGGAATCACATCTTTTGCAGCAATAAGAATGGAAGTGGAGGCCACTATTGTAAGTGAAATAACTCAGAAACAGAGACAAATGTCCTATGTTCTCACTTATAAGTGGGAGCTACCTAATGTGTACACATTGACATAGAGGGTGGAATGATAAACAATGGAGACTGGGAAGGGTGAGGAGGAAGGGGGTGGATATGAGAAATTATTTAATGGGTACTATGTGTGTTATTCAGGTTATGAATACACTGAAAGCTCTGAATTCACCACTATGCAATATATCTATGTAACAAAATTACAATTGTACACCATAATTTTACACAAATAAAAGATAAAATAAAAAAGTCTTTCCACAAAACTTTCTGACTCAAATAGTTTCACAGGTAAATTATTTCAAAAATTTAATGAAAAAAAAATAGCACCAATCATATACAACTCTTCCAAGGGTAGAAATAGAGGGAATACATCCGAACTCATTTTATGAGAATAATATAACTATGCAAAGAAAACCTGACAAGAACATTAAGAGAAGGTAAAATTACAAGCTAATCTCTCTTTTGAATGCAAATAGAAATATCTTAAAGAAAATATTAAGAAAATCAAATTCTCTATGAAAAGGATAATATAACATCAAGTAGGGTTTATTCTAAGAATGCAAGGGTGGATTAACATTCAAAAATAAATTAATTAAATAACAAAAATCCTATGATCTCAATAGATCCAGAAATGTATGTGAATATTCCTTATGATTTAAAAAAAAAACAAAACAGACAACACAGAAACACACATAAAACAACAACACCAACTCAGCAAACTCACGAATTGAAGAGAAATTCTCTAGTGGATACAGGAAATTTACAATTTTCAAAAAAGCAAAAACCAAACCTAGAACAAATGTTATACTAGTGGTCCTAGCTAGTGCACACAAGTGGTCCTAGCTAGTGCAACAAGTCAAAAACACTTATAAATTAAAGTTATATGGAATGAAAAGGTAGAAATAAAACTGTAGTTATTCACAGAAAACATGACTGTGTTATAAAAAATTCAAAAGAACCCACAAAGTCTAATAGAATTAATAAGTAAATTTAGCAAGATTCCTGGCCAAGGTGAATCTCTCTCTCTCCTCTCTCTTTCTGACTCTCTCTCTCTCTCTGTGTCATAGATAGATAGATAGATAGATATGAATTGTTTTCTTATATAGTAACAATACACATTTAGAAAATAAAACTTAAAATGATACCAATTACAAGAGCATTAAAAAATCTAATTGTAGAAATGAATCTAACAAAAAGTATGCAAGTCCACTGTGCAGAAAACTATAAAATATTACTGATTAAAGAAGAATAAAATAAGTATGAATTATAATGCATTTATAGATTAGATATCAGTATTCCCAAAATACCATCTCAATCAAAATCCCAGCAAATTACATATTGTAGAGATTAACAAGCAGATTCTAACATTTTTATGGAAATAAAAAGGAACAAGACTAACTAAAAGAATCTAAAAGATGAGCACAGCTAAAAGATTTACACTACCAGATATTAAGATTTCTTCTAAATGTTCACTACTTAGTCATGCATCATTGATGCAAGGGTAAATAAATAGATTCCTGGAATAAGAGTCCAGAAATATGTCCATGAATATGTAGGCAGTACATTTATAATAAAGTTATTGCTAACATACTCAGGGAAAGTATTTTTGACAAATGGCACTTGATCAATTTTTTAAAAAGAAAAAATGAATCCTGTCCATCCTTGCCCCCATCTCACACCTAACACAAAAAAATGAATTTCAGGTAAAATGCAGACCTACATTTTAATGGCAAACAATAAAGATTCTAGAAGATAACAAAGGAAATGTCTTTATGACATTAAGGTAGGCAAAAGCTTTTCCATTTTTTTGTTTTTGTTTTAAACAGGATAGAAAATACTAACACTAAAAGAAGAAATTGATCATTGAAGTGCATTAAAATAAAAAACTTTTGTAACCAAAAGACAACTATAAGGTCAGGCGCGGCGGCTCATGCCTGTAATCCCAGCACTTTGGGAGGCCAAGGTGGCCAGATCACCTGAGGTCGGGAGTTTGAGACCAGCCTGGCTAACATGGTGAAACCCCATCTCTACTAAAAATACAAAAATTAACTGGGCATGGTGGCATAAGCCTGTAATCCCAGCTACTTGGGAAGCTGAGGCAGGAGAATCGCTTGAACTCAGGAGGCAAATTTTCAGTGAGCCAAGATCGCACCACTGCACTCCAGCCTGGGCGACAGAGTAAGACTCTGTCTCAAAAAAGAAAAAAAAGACAATTATAAGAGAGTAAAAACATAAGCTTCAGAATAAAAGTAGATATCTGTAATAAGTATATCTGACAAAGAAGTATATATCAGAATATAAAATGAAATCCCAGTAACTTAATAATAAAAACAGAAACAAACCCAACTGGAAAATGGACAATACCTTTCAACATGCACATCACAAAAGAGGATACCCAAGTGGAAAATAAACATATGAAAAGACGCTTAATTTCACTAATCATTAGAGAAATGCAAACCAAAGCCATCATATCATGGGCTACCATGTCACACATGCCTGAAAAACTAAAATGAAAAAAGACCAAGTGTTTTCGACGAGTAGAACAATAGGATCTCTCTTATACAGTAGTCCCCCTTTATCCATGGGGAATACACTCCACCTCCCTTAGTGAATACCTGAAACTGCAAATAGTACCCAATCCTACAAATACTATGTTTTTTTCCTATACATAAATACCTATTTAAGATTTAACGTATTTATACCTATTTAAGATTTAATTTATTTAACATTAATGTATAAATTAGGAACAGTATGAGATTAACAACATACTTAATCATAAAATAGAACAATTCTAGCACTATACTGGTTATATGAATGTGGTCTCCCTCCCTCCTCTTCTCTCTCTATTTCCCTCTCAAAACATCTTTTTGTACTTAAGGGTGAGCCCTTCTTGTGATGATATGAGATGATAAAATTTGGGCTGCAGCTGACTACGGATAACTGAAACTGTGGAAAACTGAAATCATGAATCAAGTGGGAGGGGCATTA
Source organism: Homo sapiens (assembly GCF_000001405.40). NCBI lineage: Eukaryota > Metazoa > Chordata > Mammalia > Primates > Hominidae > Homo > Homo sapiens. The sequence continues at coordinate 114,950,562 of NC_000003.12, forward strand.
CTGTGCTGCTACTGATCATGTAAATTGGTATAATAACATTGAAAATTATTTGGCACTATCTACTAAAGCTGAACATAAGCACACCAGCAATATCACTCCTCAGCATATATCCAATAAGAATGCTTAAATATGTAAAACAAGACATGTAGTAGAATATGCATGTGGCCACCACAATTCATAATGGCTTCAAACTGGAAATAAGCCAAATGTCCATCTATAGTAGAAGAGCTGAAAATAATAATAATAGAATTGTGATTATATTAATACATGGAAATATTATAAAGCAATAAAATAGTTTTAAAATCTGCAAGCACATGTAAATGCAACATAATATAAATGAATCTCAGAAACATAATGTGAGCACAAGAAGCCACATACAGAAGAATATATAATCACATGATTCTATTTCTATATTTTTCAAAAATAAACTAATATTAGAAGTCATGATAGTGGTTATCCTGAGGAAGTAGAGACTGGAAAGATAGATAAAGGGATCTTTGTGGTCTGCTAATGTTTTTTTATTGGTCTGGTGCTGCTTACATGAATATGTTCACTTTGTGAAAATTCACTTACCTATATTTTTATAATTTCTGAATTTGTAACTGTTTTCCTGCACTAAAATATTTCATTTAAAAATTATCTTTAAAAACAATTGCGACCATAAGAATTTCCATTGCTTTTGTTTTTTTTTCTCTGTTTTCCTGCTACTTAGCCTTAAATATGGGCATAGTCACAGAAATGTGCATATGAGGTAAATAAAGCCCCAGCTTGCTGGCTGGAGGACATAAAGGGGAGCTCCAGGAAAACTAAAAAATACTAATGAGAGCACAGAGAAAAAGGGGCTGCAGAAAGTGATCTTATAGGGTTACAAAATTCTGGGCTCATCTTTAGCTGTACATGCATGGATCTGATGTTAATCAGCATATGAATACAATTAAGAATGAAATTAACAGATAGACCAATGTCTACATCCAAGATTGTTCACTGGTATACACACAGGACAGACCTGAAAAGCACCGTAAGCAAAACTGATATTGAAACCACAGAAGGAATCTTGTATCTTACAACCTGAACCTAACCAGGTCAATTGCCTTTTAAAACAAAAATGTCAACATTCTCCATAGAATTTCAATATGACTCAGAATCTCATAACATGATATTAAGAATATCTAAGAAATAATCCTAAATCACCAGGCACAAGAAGAACTAGGAACATGTGAACTCATATGAGAAAACATAATCAATGGAGATAAAACCTAAAATGACACAGATGTTGGAATTGTTTGACAAAAACTTTAAATTTACTATTCTAAAAATGCTGAAACAAGCAATGAGAAACAGGCTTAAAACTCAAAAATAAAATTTTAAAAAAATACAACAAAATATCACTGGATGGTTTCCAACAAAATAAAGATAATACAGAAAACAGTCAATAAACTTTAAGATAGATCAACTGAAATTATGCAATATGAGCAATAAAGAAAAAAAGTGGCTCAGAAACCTGTGGGACAATAACAAGAAGTCTAGCATTCATGTCATTATATTAACAGAAGCAGAGAAGAAAGAGTGTGCTATGTGTTGAATGCCCCCTCCAAATCTCATGTGGAAATTTAATTGCCATTGTAACAGTGTTGAGTATCAGGACCTTTAAGAGGTAAGTAAGATAGACTAATGTCATTAATGTGGGAGTTTATTAGTTATCACAGGAGTGAGTTGTTGATAAAAAGAATAGTTTGGCCCAGTGTCCTCTCTGTCATGTGCTTTCTTGCCACATGATGCCTTCCATCATGAGATCACCCTTGTTAGATGCTAGCATCATGATCTTAGACTTCTCAGCTTTTAGAACTGTGAGCCAAATAAATATGTCTGTTCTGTATTAATTATCCAATTTCTGGTATTCTTTTATAGCAGCAGAAAATTGACTAAGATTATAATTCTGAAAAGGTATTTGACAAAATAGTGGCTAGAAAATTCTCAAATTCTGTGAAATACATAAACCCACAGAGTCAAGAAGTACAGCAAACCCCAAACAGAAAAAAAAAAAATCAATCTCTGGATACATTAAAATAGAACTGCTGGAAATTGAAGACAGGGAAAACTGTCTTGAAAGCATCCAGAGAAAATCACACATTATCTGTAGGGAAACACCATTCAAATGACTGTGGAATTCTCATCAGAAACCATGAAAACCTGAAGGAAATGGCACCCCTTTTTTAAAGGTCTGAGAGAGCACAGAGAATTCTATATCCTGTATAAAAGAGACCTGCTCTAAAACATTTGCTGAAAGGAAGCTCTCCAGACAGAAGACAAATGATACAACATTGCCACTGATATAAACACTGAACATTAGGAATGAAGGAAGAGGAAAAAAAGTGATAAACCTATGAGTAAATATAAGAAACGATTATTCTTTTGGGTTCTTTAAAACATGTTTGACAATTTAATGCAAAATTACAACATTATCTGACGGGGCTTCCAATGTATGTAGATATAATATATGACAAAACAATAATGCAAAACTGGGAGAGTAAAAGGACTTATATGGTTGTAAGATTTCTACATTCTATTTAAATGTCTAAAATATTGATTCTAAGAAGAGTATAAAAAGATATGTATATTGAACAACTTTAGAACAACCTCTAAAAACAACTATACAAAGAAATATCGTCAGAAGAACAATAGATAAATTTAAATTGAATGCTAAAAAATGTTCAAATAACCCAAAACAAAACAGAAAATGAAAAACAAAGGAAAACAGAAGAAACAAACAGAAAACAAAATATAAAATGAAAGACATTAATTCAAATGTAACAATAATTACATTAAATGTAAATGGCATAAATATACCAATTAAAGACAGAGATTATCAGAACGGATTTTTTTTAATGACCCAATTATACACTGTTTTCAACAAATTTACTTCAAATATAATGAAAAAGGTAGGTTTGAAGAAAAGTGTACGTGCTGCAAACTCCAATTATAATAAAGCTGGAATGGCTATATTAATATTGGACACAGTAGATCTCAAAGTGAAGAAACCTGCCAGTGATACAAAGGACATCATATAATGTTGAAGAGTTAATTAGCCAGTAATATATAATAAGTCTAAATCTGTATGCCCTAACAACAGAGCTTCAAAATACATGAAGACATAAAAACTGACAGAACTGAAAGGTGAAATGGAAAAATCTACAATTATATTTGGAGATATCAACACCCTTCTCTCAGTAATAGACTAATATATAATTAGTAAAAACAGAACTGAAAAAATTAGCTTCATAAGAGAGAGCATATGATCATTCAGAAACTTAACAGCATTTAAGAGATTATATTCCTTACCAAATTTTTAGGTTAACATGAGTAAGGTTTTTTGATATAGCCAACTACAGTTTTCGTAAGAGTAATGGTTACTTCTTCAGAGATAAGTCATATCAGCAGAGGCAGAAAGCTGAGAATGGGGGAGGTCAAATCTTTGTAAGATGTAAACTGAAAAGAAAGTTTTATAGAAATGAATTTCTGCTGATCTCACTGTGAAAGTGCAGTTTTCATACTTTTATGAAACAGGCTTGTTACTTTGTTTAAATATTTGTGTAATCCAAATAGTTTTGACTTCAGTTAAGCTGAATATTTGCTTTAAATATTTGTTTTTAAACCCCATTTATCAATTCTTTAGAATCTTATATAAAAGGTACGTGGTACTTGCTTAGGAAAATAATCAAAAATCAGAAAGTGGCCCTTTTAATAATGTGAAATGATTCAACAAACAGAAAACCAATATTTTCTTATAAAATCAGTAAGGTGGTAGGTAGGTAGCTATAAAAATATTTAGATTTTTACTACATATTAATCCTTAAAAGAAATCAGGTAATGAGTCTGAAATAAGTTTAATGTGTCCTTCTTATTTCTATTTTAGTTACACACACACACATATACACACACACTCTTACAGATAGCAAAATATGCTAAATAGGAAGTAAACATGGTACTATGGTATGGATTAGTAAGAAAGTCCTACCTTAGATAGCATTATCTGAGAAAGTGTTTTTTACTTTAAGAAGGATTCGACTAAGCAGTGTGAGTTTAAGTGTCAGGGCCAGTGCCAGCATGCTTCAATGAGAACACTGAGAATAAGTGAAAGTTGAATTGTCACTGGTTTCTTCTAAGCTAAGATAAGGTTTGGGGCACCTAAAGTGCACTCAACTGCAAATACTGTTAGAGGCCACTCATCTTCCAAGGGAAGTATCAGGGGAACATAAAACTTCATTGAGTTCTGGCTAGAACAACATCTTATGAAGCTAGGTAGATTCCATGTTTCTCTTGCTGATACCAAGGAACAAAGGTAAACAAAGGTGTCTTCACTTGCAGCTGCCATTGCTGCTGACAAAGCTTATCTGCCCACAGAGTGGTGAATAGTAATTCTAAAGGAAACTTCTTGTCTGCCAAGTAGAACTTTGAAGTTCTGTGTCATCCCATGCAACTACCCCACAAAGAGCAGGTGAATCCTGAGGTGAAGGGCACTACTGCCCCTATGGTGCCCTGAAAGTTGGAGATCAAGCTTTGAGCCCTTCACCAACTCAGGATAAACCAGCACAATTAGACCTCCTATAAATATGAAAGAATTCTGATAACTCCAGCTCCAGAGATTCTTGGACAAGTTACTAAATGGCAGTAGACAGAGACAGCATAGCTGCACCTTCTGCTGTATACCTGAACACTCTAGCTAAAAGTCAGATATATCTATCCATGCACTAAGTGGTTGAGGATCAATATAAACAAAACACAGTTGCCTGAGTTCTGTTTACAGAGCACATACGAAATTGTCTTTTTCTCTCCACATTGTTTGCATCATTCCTAACCCCTGAATTGAATTCACTTGTTAGCTGCACTGTTGTGCAGGTCTTCTGATCTTGCTTTACTGACTTAATGACAACCACTCTCTAAAGACTGACAAAAATCACACTGTTTCTTTTCACACTGCCCAACTGAAGTGGGCCAAGTTCTCATCATCTTAGCTCTAGTACTCAACCTTGAAATCATCCACAGAGATGTCTTCCATGCAAGATATTTCTCACTGTAAGGGAAGATGATGGTAAGTCATCATCTTCAAATAGAAATGATAGCTCCAAAGAGGAAAAGGAAAAACAACTGCCACTCCATCACCTCTCTGACTTTGGCTTTCTAGGGAATCAGTTCTTCTGGGTAAGGTTAAACCAACAAACAAACAAACAAAAAAATGGAGGTGGGGGGTGTACTTTATTCTGTTTTGTTTTTAAAGAAATGGCCACTTTTCATAGATAGAGCAATATAAGTGGAAAATAACCAGGAGGTTTTAGTGAAAATGGAAAAGGAAAAGGCAAATTTTGTGACATACTAGGTCTAACAATTGTTTAAATCTAAAGTTTGGTGCCAAATAGTGATGGTTTTAATTAATAGATGGATCTGAAACACCCATATATCATGCTAAAGATTTAGTATTAAATATGTTCTACTACTGAAAATAATACCAAGGTCTCTAACGACAAGATAAACACATGCTATATTGACAAAAGTATGCAAAAAAATGCTAATCAAACTCAGCTCATAGGAGCAGGAGCTGAATTGAATGATCTTGTTCCCCCAAAATAAACTTCCAATTCACTACTCAGGTTATTTTCCAATTGTCACTGGGACAACACAACAAAAGCAGGGGACAAAGTTAAAACCTGGCCTTTTCAGTCAAGCAAGTGGACAAATACTCAAGACAATAACCCACAAACAAGGAAGATGACAGCGGAAAATCCCCCACATTCAGTTCACCCCTTTGTGACCAAACCCTGTTCTGCAGGTCTTCTGATGACTTAGACTTTAAGACAGCAAGGTAGACATCCTGGAAATAGGCCAATAATAATCTTCAACTAGGAAGACATACTGAAATCACTAGGGAAGCTTTTTTCAACATAACCTTTCCCTCCCTCAGCTGGGAATCATAGATTAGATTTAATTTGTATAATCACTTCAGTTTGAAGTAGGTGGATGACCTGAAGAAAATTAAGGTATAATGGCAGGCTTGCCATCAGCAAGTACGCATTTACAAACATTTTGACAAGCTATATCTGGAAATATCCTGAGGATCCAAGAATCTTGGTTAACTTTATACAACTACGATAAATTGGGCACTACACCAAAACATGCAGGCTATTTGACTCTGCATTTTCCTCAATCAACAACATGTAACGGAGAGGCCTAATATACCAAATCATTATCGAACAGCTTAGGGATGACTCACTTTGACAGGAAGAGCAAAGTGTTTCACTCTCATCTCAGTGAACCTGTTCATACTGACATAATGCCACATGGTTCCTAATACGCAACAATGTACACTGTTCCAGCAACATAGAGGCAGCTTTGAGCCTTTGGATCCAAATTCTGTGAGTGAGCTGGGCTAGAGTTTTCTGTTTCCCTTCCCTCATTATCATGGCAACAGAGGGCAAAGGTGGCAGTTAGGCTTTATGCCTGGACTGCTGGCATACAGGTCCACACCTCTTCCAAAACAAAATTTGGACAATAGTTACACATGAAAATGTTGTGTTCTGCTTAGGTTATAAGGAAACTAAATCATACTGCAGGCAACTCTTTAGTTATTTTCTCTTTTATCCTATCTTCACCAGAAAATTTAAAGAGCTCTAAAACAGTGTTTCTCAAACTGTAGGTCACACTGTCAGTGCTCTTGAAATTAAGATAGTGGGCTGTAGACTTTAAAGGAAAGTTAGGATAAGATAAAATAGGATAAGATAAAGTAGGATAGGATGGGATGGGATGAGATACTAGAGGATAGAATGGAAAATGCAACACATAGGAAGGGTAAATACTGTCTTATGAAATTTTGTTTTAATTATATGACTGCATGTAGACTGTGTCATGATTTAAATGCATTTATCTCTGTGGATTATTAGGAAAATGTATGAAAACCACTGCCGTAAAGAACATCTATCTTATGGCCCTAACAGCATTTCTCTACAGAAACACTATTGGCTTTGTGACTGGGCAAATCTCTTTTCTAAGTAATTTCAGCTATTCATGGCAGGATTTAACATCATATCTTTCCCCTATCCACTGAATTCCAGTAGTGCTTCCTTTTCATCGTGACAACCACACATTTTAAATGCTACCTAGGAGGAGTTATCACCATCTAGAGATAAATATGAATCCATAGACAAAAGGTTGCTAGCTCAACTCATATCTGATGAGAAGCAAGTGTTTCTAAGTATCCTTTTGTATCTAGAGTTTGTCCTCCAGGATGAATGGAGGTCAGCTTTGATAGCTCTTATCTGGGACGTGTACACTGTTCCAGCTACTTATTCTGCAAATTAAGTCTTCCTTTCCTAGCACCCATCAATCTAATACTAAATTCATTAGCAAAATGAAATGAAAAGAACACAACATACATTGCTATTAATGGAATTCCATGCATGTCACTCCCCACACATTGTACTAAAAATGAACTCATCTCCATTTGAGTGTCTCTACACAAATATCTGTGTTTATTAATACACAGCATTTCAGAAGTGAGATTTTCCTTAAAGCTGTAAAGCCATTTGCTTTGTCAAGCTCCCTTTTCAGGGAAAAACTTCAGGAATTTTCACTATCAATTTATGTTGATTATTTACTCTTTTGTGGATCTGCTATTCTCCAGGCAAAATCCAATAAGGAGAAATCATGATTACTGTCTAAAGAATTTATTTTGTAATATTTTTTCTTACTTCCTGTAACTTACTTTGTGTGACAGTAATAAACAGTTCATAATGCTCCATCTACTATCCTCATCCATAAAATCTAGTAACAGTTCAACATTTAAAAATTTTTTAATGAAGACAAAAATCAGCTGGTGACTTCCTACTGGAGCACAAAATTAACACTTGCACTGGAGTGGGTGAGATTTTCTTATTCAGAGCAGAATACAGTCTTTTTCTTACGGATTTAAAAATCTTAGTTACCTTTCCCTAGCTTGAAATAATAGGCATTTTGGGCTGGGCGCAGTGGCTGATGTCTGTAATCCCAGCACTTTGGGAGGCCAAGGCGAGCAGATCACTTGAGGTCCGGAGTTTGAGACCAGCCTGGCCAACATGGTGAAACCCCATTTCTACTAAAAATACAAAAAATTAGCCAGGGTGGTGGCACACACCTGTAATCCTAGTTACTCAGGAGGCTGAGGCAGGAGAATCACTTGAAACTAGGAAGCGGAAGAAGTTGCCATGAGCCGAGATTGCACCACTGCACTCCAGCCTGGCCAATAGAGTGAGAGTCTGTCTCAGAAAAAAAAAAAAAGAAAGAAAAAGAAAGTAATAATAGGCATTTTGAAGACTTCAGGAGAAATAGCTAGAATTCATAAATTACCCAGAAGTGATAACACTGTACTTAGATTTTCACACATAAATTTTCCTATTCCTGGATAGTGTGGGACCAAACTATATATAACCAAGTTTTAAGGTGACCAAAAATTAAAATTCACAAATACTCTGAATGTCTCAACTACTTTCCTTCCAGAAACCCAAGAAAAACTGAAGTGATTTCTCACTTCCCCTAATGAGCACTAATGACAATTAGAGATGAACAGCTAACCTCAAACACACTAAAGAGTGTTTTTAAAACAGAATACCACACAGGTTGTATAAGGCTTATCTTCAAACATTTTCCTCAATAAAATGTTAATAAACAAAAAAAATTGACATGAGGGAAAAGAGAATTGGAATGAAGAATATCCTCCTTTACTTTTAAATGACAAAATTAACAAACATGAGAGAAAACACCATTTTTAAAATGAAAAGATCACTCATATGAGAGAAGGCAGATCACATAGTGGAATGTCTAAGGGGAAATCCAGGTGGATTGCCCACTGGAGTATACAGTTAAAAAATATCCAAAGGAAGAAAGAAAAGACATTAGATATTTGGAAAGGTAAGTAACTAAGTAAATAAATAAATAAGAAAAATGATGACAAATTTGCAAGGGACACCAACACCAAATGCGGTTTTTGTTTTTTGTTGTTTTGTTTGTATGCCAAAGAGAATCAGTCAGCTAGTAACAAGTAAGGAAATTCAAACAGTAGTTGTTCTAGGTCAAAAACAAAAGATATATATGTACACACACACCACACACACACACATCTATATTTATATACATACACACACACACACACACACACACACACACACTTGGAGACTCTCATGCCTCAAATATATTTTGAAGCATACAAATTTAGAGAGTCTAGATTTAAAACAGTGGCAAATACAAAAGTCTTTCTTAATTAAAAAGCTAGCTGCAGATAAGTCACTAGCATCAAATAGGTACCAATCAAAAGTAAAACTGTGCTCAGAAAAACTAACTTGTTCTTAAAATGGCCATTTTCACAAAGTACTGAAAGATTGGCAATGTGGCCAAATTCCCCCAAAAAAGGGGTTTAGAAGCAGCCTTTGTAACCAAAGGCAAACAGTGGGAATATGTATAAAACAGGAAGATACACGAAAAGCTTTTGCCCACTTGGTGAATTGAGCCTCTCTATCTAGGCTTCTTGTGGCATTAAAGAAGCATCTGCAAATGCAGTAACTAGAATATATAATCTATTCAGATTTTCAAAAGGCTTTTGAGAAAGTTTCATAGCAATAACTGTGCAAATAAATTTTGGGTAAACATGGAATTAGAAATACATATTTTCACAAGCACAAAACTATGTTAGATATAGGAAGAAAATGTGAAGTGGAAATGATGAGAGAATGCTTTTATAAATTTTGACTGTGGAATTCAAAGTGTCAACTGCACATATTTATATTTCACTATCCTTTTCAAATAGTAAAATATCAAACCACAGCATCACGGAATCCTAAAGAGCTGGGATGACTCCCTACGTACTACAGATTAAGAAACTGAGCTACAGAGGATTAATAATTGCCCAAGGTTAAAACATATAGACATCAGGAAGATTTCATAACGTTTACAAACTTGAACAAAAAGTACCACATGAGCTCCCCTATGGGGATGTGTTGAGTATTATATTTCACTAGTGATAAAGAATACAAAACTGTTCACATAAATGTGGCCTTTAAAATATGGTCCCTAAACAAGAACCTTAAAAGAATTATAATACATTCCCTGAAAACATTTCAATGTGTTCTGGTTACAAAGATATTCAAAATTCTAGACATCATCAGAAGTGCTTTGGATCCAGTCTTAGGGAGATCCAACATTTAATAGCTATCAGAAAAAAATGCCTGCAAAGGACATAGTGAGGATATCAGAAAAAAATGCCTGCAAAGGACATAGTGAGGAAATGACAAGGAGCATAGGAAGAAAATCAAGAAAGCATGACGCCATGAAAAATAAGGGAAGAAAGCATTGCAATAAGGAAGGAGTGGTCAGCAAGATCAAATGCTCAGTGAGGTCCCAGTGAGAGTTAATTTGGAGAAGTGATGGAGGTCCCTGCAGCAGACAAGGTGAATTGCTGAATGGATTGGTGAAGAAATGGAAATAGAGAGTAGAAACATTTCTTTGAAGAAATGTGAGTGTCCTTCTACAGGTAAAAAAAAAAAAAATACATGATAACTGGTCAATCTCTGAAAGTGTGGGTCCAGCGGTTTTAAGAGGAGATTCAGTATTACCCACCATACTCGTTTTTTTTTTTTAACCATAATTCCTAGTCAAATATGTCATAAGCCCAGGAAAAGGATCTCAAAAGAACTTAGAACTATCCTCCTTCAATACAAAAAATAAAAGGCATCTGGTTTGCAGTAGGGTTGTAGACCTTGCAAGACTTCTGCATTTTGGTTTAATCAGAGATTTTCCAGAAGTCTAAAAATAATTATTCATCTTTGAAAAATAAGGGTACCATACAGCTATCTAGCTCTGTAATCCAAGGAAAAATCAATTATCTTAAAAGATGCCTTATGAGGTCATTGTTTCACATGATAAAACAAGAACATTAGGAGGACAAGTCTCGGTTGGAAGTCTCAGATCACTCTAATTGTTCTAATTGATGAATCTTCTTCAAGGAAAAAAGTGGGCTCCATTTCTGTTTTTAAAAATCCAGAGTATCTGTAGTAGTGCAACTAATGACAACCTTCCCGTTGTTCTTGCCTAAGAGGAAACCCTATAATAAGAGCTTCCCAAAATGTCAAATAATACTTGTCTCATAACAGGGCTTCTTTGTTCATTCACCATGTCTCTTTTGATATGCACAGATAATAAAAGTTCATATAAAACTAAAGGTAATATAGAGCAGAAGCCAACACTAATTCTGTATAAATATGTCTGATTAATAAGAATGCTATTGTTATGGTTATTTCATAATGTCACGATTGTTACAAGAACAGAGGATAGAAGTACTCTTACTCTTACTGTTTTCGTTCATCCTCTGTCATCCAACCAGTTTGCAAATTTCTGTTCAACGGGAAAAATGAAGGATAGATTTTTGTCCATTAATTACTGCTGTTGCATAAGTTAGTCTCATAAATTGTGAAATGAGCATTAAATTCAGGGAAAAATTAGGGGTTTTATTTTAAAATTGAACTCCACTTCCACTACAAAAATGAATACATGCTCCAGGCTTACTTTCTAAGCTCCCTTTTCCACATGCACAGTTGCTATATTCTTCTGGTGCTCATGAACACATGAAAGATAGAATTTAGCATGATAGCACTAAAATCTAGGTAAGAGCCTAGTATATTAAACCTAAACTGTGGTTTAATACAACAACCATACACAAAATTGTATATGGGATTTGGTTCCAAAAATTAGAACCCCACCCTGGTGAAGTAATAAGTAACCCCACCCAGATGTGAGTATCTGGTCCCTTACTGGAAAGGAAATAAAAACAAGTAATAAGATAACAGTCTACACTCACTGCAGACAGACAGCCCGATAGATTTTGAAGGAAATTCTAAGGCTGGTAGATAAGTTTGTATTGTCATTATTTTGCTTTTCTCTTTAAATTCTTATCTCCTAGATCCTGGTATTCCCCCTTGGGGCAGCAGTATAATATAAAAGCTTAACAGTCGATCTTAAATTTAGCTGACATTTTTATATCCTTCAAAACATACCTTTTAGATTGCACCCAAGAAGGAGATTATTAAATAGTAGCAGGAGACCAGTTAGTGGACCATTTTGACTGAACAAAAAACAGCACTGTGCCTTCTTGTTGACAAACCAAAAAACATTTATATAGTCATTATAATCAATTTCATAAATAAAAGGCTATTAATGACTGAGAAAAAAAGGGAAAAACTGTATTTCTCCCAAGTCCCTTCATCCTCTCTTAAACTCCATATTAGTTTAAGAAAGTGGAGGAAGCTATGCATGAAAAATAGTGTACTTAGTTGAGCTGGAGTCTCTTGTGAAACAGGTTCTGTCAGTCAGAAGGCAAGGGTACATTTCTATAATTATTTAAGCCTAGTTTTTTTGTAGTAATTAGCCAGAGCTCCATTTTGCTGAAGCTGGCATCACTCACAGCTCACTTTTTTTTTTCAATTTAGACTTTTCATTCCTTTTTATAAAATAAATTTACATATTTTCAGTCTCTCAATCCCTCCTATGTTTTATTTATGAATATAGCCCTTCTTGATGGTAACTCTAATGTGAAAGAGGTAGTAATTAATGTCCCAATCTGCTAGGTTAATCCCTTTCCACACTCTCTATAGAGAAGTTTAAGGTAAGTAACAGTTTACAGTCAATATTAGGTTTAATTATGCTTAATGAGAGTTGGTGTCTCTGTTTACTAACTGCATTTAGGTGTGTGGATCCTAGATGAATTTTCCCTTGGCCTCATTCTGATTTGTTAATAGTGCCACTGTGTACTGTATACTCAGTGCTTAAATCTATAAAGCTGCTTCTGGAGAACAAAGCAAGTAAGGCACCTGTTTCAGTTGAAACATTATTAAACAAATGAGTGAAGTTTTACCGCAACCACATCTTTCTTTGGGAAGGTGCTGTTATTTTATAATGCTTTCCAAACAGGTCCATGTAAAAGGCTAATTGCTGCCTAAATTCAAGATCCTAGGTTAAGTCTATACATATTAAAAAATGTTTCAAACTAAGTACAATAATCAATGGTGAGTATTTTAAAACTATGGAGTATTAAACACTTCTAAGACTTTCTGTATTAATCTTTCAATGTTTTCATTCCAAGTACTATAATTGAAAACTACTTTGACAAGTAGTTTTTTTGCCTTGAAAATGTCTTTTGTCTTAAAATTATATTCAACTTTGTTGCTGTGTATAAGACAAAACTTTTGTTTCCTTACTGAAACTATAAAAATAAGCATCAAAACAAACACCTTGGCCTCAAGGAAATCAGATAGTAAGCCGAGGGAAATTTAGTAAACAAATTTTTAAAGAACCCCTTTTTCCTATATTTTTGTTATGGATAAATTATGTATACAACTGACCATGTAGTTTCTTTAAGTCCATTCATAGTCTAATCAATTTAGTAAACATTTATTGAGTAAATACTTTGAGCTAAGCACAAAAATGAACATGACATACTCCCTTCTCTCAAGAAGCTTACCATCTAGAAAGGAGCCAGGCATGAGTTAAAAACTTTAATAGGCTGGGTGCAGAGGCTTACACCTGTAATCTCAGCACTTTGGGAGGCCAAGGTGGGTGGATCACCTGAGGTCGGGAGTTCAAAACCAGCCTGGTCAACATGGTGAAACCCCGTCTCTACCAAAAATACAAAAATTAGCCAGGTGTGGTGGAGCACGCCTGTAATTCCAGCTACTTGGGAACCTGAGGCATGAGAAATGCTTGAATCCGGGAGGCAGAAGTTGCAATGAGCCAAGATTGGGCCACTGCACTCCAGCCTGGGCAACAGAGTGCGAGTCTGTCTCAAAAAGCAAACAAACAAACAAAACCCAAAAAACACTATGCTACAATATGGTAAATCATACTCATGCATTAAGAAGACACAGAAAAGATCAGTTGATCTGTAGAGGATAAATAAGGCCTCTGCTGGTGAAATAGCAAGTTTTTTCTGGGTCATGTGCAGACTATAGCAGGCTAAATGAACAGTAAGAGCAAAGGCAGAAAGCATGGCATCCACAGTGTATTTAAAAGACAGCAAACAGTGAAGTGTGTGTTGAAAGAACTATGTGCCTGGGTGGAGGAGGCGGGGGGTGATGGGAAGAGATATGGGAGTTTGGAAGTTAGGGGCTCAAAGAGTGGACTGAGACCGAATTAAGAATTTTCAATGTCATCTTGTGTTAGCTTTTATGTAATATGAGGGATAGGAAAAGGTAAAGAGATAACACTACTAAACAAGGATAAGGTCTGAATAAATTCCTTCAAATTAAACTGAATTCTTCTAAGCCTACTGATCTTTGAAAAACATTTTCAAATTTCAAACCTCCCATAATGTTATTTGGAAGCCCTTGCATTTAGATCAAAGAATTTGTGCCATGTGGAAAAAAATTCCTAAAATATGTCTATCTGAAAGATGGGATGATAACATATTAATGGAAGCCAGTAGAAAGAGAAGCTGTTAGGTTTATACCCCAGGGAATCCTGAGAAATCTGCAAATAATTAAATGTACTTTGTGATATAAAAATCTGTTTATAATTAATTTCAGAAATTTTCTGCCTTTTGAAAATTCTCCCTTAGTTAATATATCATGATGTTGTTTTTGTTTTTTAAATTTTAATTGGCAACTAAAAGTTGTATATACTTATGATATACAACATGCTATTTTTAACGCATGCCTTACTCCACATATTTTTGTAGTGAGAAGACTTAAGGTATACTCTCATAGCAATTTTTAAGTATAGAGTATATTTTTATTTACACAATGTACAACATATCTCTTCAACTTATTCCTCCTGTCTAAGTGAAATTTTGTACCCCTTGACCAGCAGCTCCCCAGTCTCTCATCCCAGCCTCTGGTAACCAACATTATACTCTCCGTTTCTATGAGCTTGACTTTTTTAGATTCCACATATAAGTGAGATCATGCAGCATTTGTCTTTCTGTACCTGGCTTATTTCACTTAAAAATCCTCCAGGTCTATCCATGTTGTCACAAATAACAGCATTTTCTTTTTTAAAGATGACTTACATTGCATCATGTTTATGTATATTATTATCTATTCCTCCATTGATGGTCACATGATAACATCCATTCTGACAGGTGTGAGGTGGTACTCACTGTGGTTTTAATTTGCATTTCTCCGATGATTAGTGATGTTGAGCATTTTTTCATATACCCATTAACCATTTGTATGTCTTCTTTTGAGATACGTCTATTCAGGTCCTTTGCCTATTTTTCAGTTGGGTTATTTGTTTTCTTACTATTGAGTTGTTTGAGTTCCTTATATATTTTGGATATTAACCCCTTATCAGGTGTACATTTTGAAAACATATTCTTCCATTCCTTAGGTTGTGTCTTTACTGTTAAGTGTTTGCTTTTAGAAAAATAAAAAAAGAGGCAAACATTTCCTTAAAATCCATAAACTAATGAGTTTTAAAAGAAAAGAATGCCATCCAAACTACCTAATCAGAAAAAGACTTTCTACAGCTTAGATCCTGTTTTTATAGTATTTTAGAAATGTCTAAACACATGGCCTATGACAAATACTTGCCTCTTTTTGGAACATCAATTACTTCTTTGTAACGGTATACTGATTTCCTTTTAAGGAATAATCTCTTTCCCTTCCAGTATAGTATTGGTGAGACGGTAACTCCAGGTTCAAAGATAAACTTGGGGAAATTAGGTAGATAAAAACAGAGAACATGCAAAAAAATAAAGAAGCACACGAGGTGAATGAAGAAAAATGTAGCAAATTTATCAGAAAGATGGAAATTGTTTAAAAAAGTTTTAATATTTTCTAAATATGGTGAACATTTCTCCAATTTAAATAATCATCAGTTATTTAACACTTTCTATGTGCTAGGTATTCAATTCATCAATTTATTAATAATATCTCCAATCCTAATTATAACCCCAAGAGATAGATGTTATTTTTTCCATTTTATTTTATCGGTGTGTAGGCTTAAACCCAGAGAACTAAAGTAATTTGCCCAACTGTTAGTGAATAGTTCAGTCAAGACTGAATCTCAAATCCAGTGGAAAATAAAATGGTATGTCCAGTATAGGAAGTACAAAACATACAGGTTAAATAAACAAACGTTCACAT
This sequence comes from Homo sapiens, assembly GCF_000001405.40. NCBI lineage: Eukaryota > Metazoa > Chordata > Mammalia > Primates > Hominidae > Homo > Homo sapiens. The sequence continues at coordinate 114,966,713 of NC_000003.12, forward strand.
ATACCTATCAATAAAGAACTCCAAAATTACATCAGTCTGTTAAAAACAAGCCACTCAAAGCTCTAGAGTTAACTAAGGTAGTAACATAATTCTGAAATTAAAATGAAAATATTTACATAAAGTTAAATATTTTTTTAAAAAATCTTTAAAAAGTACACTCAAACATACTGGGAAAACATTTTTCATGGGAAACATTTTAGGATAATACTATCTATTCTATAAGAAAAGAGTCACCTTCCTGAAGAGTTCTTTGCTTTCAGTGCTGTTGCCTAAATTAACTTTCTGTTATGAAACACATCACGCTAGTTTTAACCTAGAGAATAATTTGAACAAAACCAAGTTAACCATTTCTAAAATACTTAAAATACAAAGAGGTGGTTGTGTAACCTTGAAGATAATTATTCAGATGTTTTTAAGTATTCATCTCTCCATAGTATTTTAGATTTAATTTTGTGAATTTAGCAACAAAGAACACAGTTTAGCACAAAATGAGAAAACCTGTTCAGAAGTGAAGAAATCATCTAAATATTAATAGATTTTATTAAATAGCAGCAGAAAACGTTATACTTGGTGTTATTTTCAGCTATATAAATATCTTATTTTTATCCAATAAAAAACATACTAAATTCCTCCATTTCAAATACTGATGATATCAGCAAAGTGTTCACACATCTGGATATCTTTCTGTGTTTACCTAAACTGACCTTTCTGGTATGTACTGTACTTTCTATCTCAGTATCTTCAGTGTACATTTGCAAAAACTACTTGAACAGTTTACATTCTCCCACACCATGCTACTTCAAATGGTCTTCAAGACTTTCAAATTACTGTCAGACACTGGGCATTTTGTAGGCATATACTTTTGCATTCCTCCTCAAGGGAAAAAAAAGGGGGGAAAGCCTAGATTCAAATGGTAATAAAGTCTCTTTCACCCTGATAAATACATTTAAAAAGTTGATCTCGGCTGGTCGCAGTGGCTCACGCCTGTAATCTCAACACTTTGGGAGGCCGAAGCGGGTGGATCACCCGAGGTCAGGAGTTCAAGACCAGCCTGGCCAATGTGGTGAAACCCCATCTCTACTAAAAATACAAAAATTAGCCAGGCGTGGTGGCGGGCACCTATAATCCCAGCTACTCAGGAGGCTGAGGCACGAGAATTGCTTGAACCCAGGAGGCGGAGGTTGCAGTGAGCCAAGATCACCCCATTGCACTCCAACCTAGGTGACACAGCGAGACTCTGTCTCAAAAAAAAAAAAAAGAGTTGATCTCATCCTGATGCTAGAGTTGTATAAAAGAAGATCTTAGTGTTAACTCACAAGCTATTATATAAAAATATTTGTATATATGTATACCAATGTACTATGCATAAACACATTTGAATATAGCATGCGTATATATGCAATCTATTTAGTATATTTGAATGTATATATTATATATAGATACATATGCATTTACATTTCCACATTTATTCCAAAAACTTAGAGAGAAAATACTTAAACTGTTTTCAAAATACAAATTCTAAATGAAATAAAATGTTCTTTAAAAACTGTAATTAATGGCTGTTATGTCAAACTGTGAACCAAAAAGGTCAAACCTTATAATTTACAGTTTGAGAGGTCATACCTCAAATTATAACCTTAAAAAACTGATTATTTGTGAGTAATTTGACAAATGCATCTAATATAAACTGAATGCATATGAAATATTTTTGCGAGTAAAAAGAATGTATGTCCAAGTGGACAGCTGATGGAGGAAATAGCCTTTTACTGAACAAGGCTGAAGTCCAACATAATGACTTGGAATGCCTTTGAATAAGCATGCAGGTTGGAAGGCCAAACAGTACACACATCCAAAAGGGAGCATAATGAACTATCTGATCAGAAGACAAAAATACTCCACATATACACCCAATGAGAAAAAAGAAAACACACTTCGGTCACCTCCTCTTTTTTCATCATTACTATACCCCAATTCACGAATGAACTCTGGGCTATTGATAAATAATCATCAAAAGAAATGATTTTTATAATTTAAAAATACTAGAAATTCCTATAATATTCCAATCTGAGATTTTCAAATGTCTATGGAGATCTTCTATATCATATAAAGTAAGCCAGGTTTACAAAACTGTTTACGACTCATCTTGGATGCAAATATTACCACACCTAGCTTCATCTCAAAGCCACCTGCTCCTTAAAACATAATCTGAAATACTTTGGCCTCTCCACAATTTTTAATCTACAAGTCATCCACCATTAAGAAGGCAGATCATTGAAGATAATTTTCTCCACCGTAGACTCAATTCCCTAACCCAAGCTAGAATTGAGAAGGTTAGCAAAATAGTCATTTATTAATATATCTATGTCTCTAATATTTATTTATGTGCTTATTATATCTCCCTGTTAGACTATAAGCTCAACAAGGATAAAGACTAAGTCTCTTTTGTTCAACAGTTATCTATAACATCTACAAAGTTTCTGGCACAGAGCTAGCATTCCATAAATATTCGCTAGAAAATGGAAAGAAGGGGTTGACAGAAGAAAGGAGGGAGGATTGAGTTAGCTAGTCTCCTCTAGTATTATTTGTGCAATTGTGGAGAGAAAAATCCCTAAAAATGTACACTGTATTTAATCAATTTACCCATCCAACAATTCACTGATACATCGATCCTTGAAACCAAAAAGATTTAAAATGGCTTCCAAAAGTACACAATTATACAATAAAATAAATTAAAACAGATGAAAAATGAAAGGGATACAAAATATAGTTGGGAACAGGATATTTCTATACGTATACTGGTAAAGTCAGTTAAATCACAGGAAAGAGAAGGAATTTGCTTTTTAATTTCTCCAATTTAACCTTATTGTAACTACTATTATAATAGTGTTATAAACACTAAGCAAATATTTACTCGTTCCTTATCTAACCATTACTATGGCAAATACTCTATAACCAGGTACCTTATATTATGAGCCAGGCAATCTATTGGATGAGACAAATATTCAGTTATAAGAAAGTATAATATGTATGTTATAACAGTAAAATTATAGATTTTTGTAGGAGAGAAAAGTAGGATTCTCTGAACCAACAAAAATGCTTACATGGTAACTGCTGAACTATGAACCCAATACTTCATGTACCAAGAGATTTTTCTGATACATGTAAATATGCATAGTTCTTGATACACAGGGAAATATGTGGTCTCAAATGTTACCAGTACAAATGAGACTTGCACATGTAAATCACAATATGATAAGAAAACACATTTGAAAAGCATTATCTTTCTTGTAAGTGAAAGCTTAAATCTGATTCCACTTAGCCTGGTAAGTGTTTTTGTCATTCCGTTGGGCCAGCCCACACATACTGGGCTCTTGATAGGTCCTGGGCTCAACCAGCTGGCCCTTTGTGTACTTAATTCTTTTTTTAATACTGACGAGTGTATTAGTAACACTTCCTTGATCACTGGTAAATATACAGCTACCACACAACTAAGATTTTCCTTAATTCTGAAATTCACTAATTAGTTGTGGGTACGGGTTAGTATTACAAAGGTATGTTGAGTGGTACTACAATGAGTAATGTAATTCCCAAAAAGAACTGTGTTAATTTACTTCCCACTTCATTAGAGGAATAAAAAACATCTTATTATCACTAAAGGATACAGAAAGAGACCTGGGTATTTTAGGGAATGGTAGACAGGGAGAAAGCATGAATGCAGCATTGAGGCAAGAAACACAAATCACCTATACATCTTGGACAATGTTCGTGCTTCTTCTTAATACTTTCTGCTTGCTTCATTTATTAGTGTGTTTCATGAAAACATTTTATTCAATTAATAAACAGGTTTCCAAAGAAAGCAAATAAGGTAAATGATTCCTATTTTCAAAAACTTATCATTCTACTGGTACGTAAGTTATGCATTAGTCAACTCTGGAAGCTGCATTAATCTTTTCAAGCCAATAAGGTCACAATCAATTACTTGAGATAGCAGAATAAAATACAGGCTTAAAAGAAATAATGCAGCCGGGGGCGGTGGCTCACGCCTGTAATCCCAGCACTTTGGGAGGCCGAGGCGGGCAGATCACGAGGTCAGCAGATCGAGACCATCCTGGCTAACGCGGTGAAACCTCGTGTCTACTAAAAATACAAAAAATTAGCCAGGCATGGTAGTGGGCGCCTGTAGTCCCAGCTACTTGGGAGGCTAAGGCAGGAGAATAGCAAGAACCCGGGAGGTGGAGCTTGCAGTGAGCCCAGATCATGCCACTGCACTCCAGCCTGGGCAACAGAGCGAGACTCCGTCAAAAAAAAAAAAAAGATAATGCAATTTCCAAAGGTGCTACCAAGTCATTTAGAGAGAACATATGGTACAATTATGAGTATCAAAACTGGGAATTTATATATTTTAAGCCTACCATAAAACATATTTACTTTTTTTCTTTTGTTGGATGAGAGATATTCTAACGCTGTTTATTTTTTCGGAAGATTCAGATTATTCAAAGTGTATCAGCTGATTGTTATGTGTGTTAATTCAAGCACTGAGTTTAAATAATCATAACTCAACTCCCTAAAACTGAAGATTCTGTGTAAGGTTGGGCCAGTGCCCTCATTCCTAGGATCAAACCATGTAAGACCAGACAAAGGTCTCAGAGATTTTGGGGGGTTCCAGTCTTTCTCCTTTGTCCATAGACGTGTTAGGGAAAGGATGACATTTTCTTATAGTACTTACCCCAAATAACTAAAATCTCAACAAAAAATAGATAAAAGTGCGGATTGTAAAATAGGTGTTAATAATTCCTTAATCAAATCTTGTAACTAATGAAAAAACACTAGTTTATATGCAGAAGTAAACTGACGAAAGGATGAACAGAATAAACAAGGAGGAAAAGACACATTTTTAAATATGTAATTTAGAAACTGTCAAAAAAAGTGGGACATGTCTTATTTAACTGGTGTATGAGAAGAATGGATGGTTTTACAGGCACATAAATGCAGGTACAGAAAGGTAATAGGAGCTTTGTATTACAATGGAACTTAAACTCCTCTGGGCAGTGATCAGCTAAGATGGAACAGAGACAGTTACAATGCAATGATTAACTAGTGGACAAAGCTATTATTTATGGCAGGTATGTAAGCAATTGGGGCAGCAATGTTGGAGGCCCCTCCTCATCAAGCAGCTTTGCCAGTACAGACTGGATGCCTGGAACCAGGAAAGACACAAAAACAATAAAACCTAGAGCCAGCTAAGGGAGATTCAATGCAATCCATCTCCAAATTTTAAATATTACTGGAAATCTACACTGAAGAATGTTTTCCCTTGGGATTGGCATACACTGTGGTTATAGAATGTTGACCAACACTTACCTTTATTTATCTCACTATGCAGAGCAATATGCCTAAAATACCTACTTAGAAATTCTCATTATATTACAGAAAAAGGAGATTCTAACATTAGTTGGCAAAAATTTTTGTTGATAGGCATGAACATCATGTCATTACATGAACAGATCATTAAAGTGAGTCCATTTCATTGACAGTATATATTGTGGGTCTTTTTATTCTGAACAACCAAACAAAACAAACACACAAGAGGTCATTGTGCCTTCCCTCATTTGGTTGGCAGCTTTATCTGTAAAATATGAAAATAAAAAACTAACATGGACTACAATCCTGCATGTACCATTGGTACCTGCATAGTACCATTTCTGCATAAGATTTAATCAAATATTTTATTCATGTTCTGAAATCCTGATATTTGTGAAGATGGAAAAATACACGGGATATTTTTAACTTTCAACTTCATGATCTCCAGTAAAAGTAGAAAAATAATCATATTTCATATTATTTGGTTTTTTGAGCTAGCCAAAAAATTATTAGTATACAAGAAAAAAGGAAGTTACCACTCTTCACTTGTCTTCAGGTCTTTTAATGTAATCTCAGGAAAAAAACATATTTAACAAAAATGGAAATTATCATGTTAAAATCTATTCCACTTTGAAAAGCGATATTCTTTCTCCCTCTCAGATAATTTTAAATATAAACCTGAAATGTTCATAACCAAATAAATCGTCTAGCAGATAACCAATCACCAAACATTAATTTTACACAATGAGGTTTCTTTAATTTCTCTCTGTCTCTCTCACAGACACACACACACACACACATTCACACAGACAGGTTGCTAACTTGATTCTTAGTATGGTAACTTAAACTCATAACCACTCCAAAATATACTTTACCTTGATTTTGTGAATAAAAATAAATAATCTTATGGGGCAAGGCAGGGATAAAAATTAGAAGTATATTTCTAACTTTAATAGCTAATAATAAAAAGAACAGCAGAAATTACTGAAAATTATATTGCTAAAATGTATCTGTACATGTGGCTGTGAAAACTTACGTGCAAAGAGAATTCTCGTTAACTACCTTCAGAAAGAGGTAATGAAATATGAGGTTTAAGAGTACATCTTTAGTACTTCTGTACCTTAAAATATTGCCGAGTATTAATTTTTCATCAAGTTGTCATTTTCTCTGACATTTGGTTTTATTAATCAAGGCATTTATCATTAATTTGTAGAAAATATCGTAATTAAGCCAAATAAAATAAAATCCTTAAAAGGTTAAAATTAGAAAGCAGGTGAATTAGAACTTTGACATTACCCTGTTGACATACAGGAGCTTTCTGGAAGTATGAGAATGAAGTTTTTTTCAGTGAGTTTGGTGCCTCGATCTTGGGGCTGGCTGGTTTTTAAAAAATGTTATAAAGATTTGATTTAAACCTCTCTGACAGTTTTGACATTCAGGTGAAAGTACTGCTGCTGCATTTGGAACAATTTGCATATCCCACTGCTAAACGGAATGTTTGAGGTGTGCACTGGTGTAAAGAAATTAAAAACAAGCTATCACACATGCTTAAGTGTATGTATTCACAAAACTGATGGTTGGATCGCACCACCCCATCCCCCTCCAATGTAATCTGTGATTTACTCTTCTATAATAAATTACCCTACCATGTTAGTCTCACTGGAAAATCTAACCATGCATGTAAGAAGAAAAGTAATTACAGCCCCCTCTTGTCTAAGAAGCCTCCTTCAATCCCTGTGAGCTCTTTATACACAATGCAGCCACACGAGTCTATTGTAAACTTCTTGCCTGAAATTCTGGACTTCTGACTATCAGTAGCCACTAAATCTCATCTGAAGAGTTTCAATGTCCCCAACAAATACAATTTTATTTCTTATAGTTAATTGTAAAGCTCTTCCTCAGGAGAAATTGTTACTGACATTCTGACTTTAAGCCAATATGTCTGTTTAACAAAAGAACACAGTTTAAAATCATGAGTTCCAAACCAGTTAAAAAAAAAAAAAAAAAGGAGGACAGAGGGACATAATACATAATGAAATAGAAGGAACAAGAGTTAGAGCAACACCTAATTAAGCTGAAATATTCAGAAAGAGTATAAAATTTCTACTTTTTAACTTACAATTTCATATTATTTTTAGGTATACATAGAAAAAGATATTTAATGTGTTTAAGGACAATAAAAGAAAAATAATAAAATAAAAGAAAAGTTGAGGTAGCAAATCCAAGACCTTAAATATTATAAGACAATTCAAGAAGATAAAGCCCATTCAGGAAAATACCACTGGACATTACCTTCAGCCTTCAGAGTCCCAAAGGCAATTCTTAACACTTCTTTTTATTTGTCTGTAAAAAAAGGAATACTTAAAATTAGAAATCTGCCAAGGAAAACATTTGCATTTCTATAATATCTTTATGACCCAGGTAGCTGAGTTTGTGTATGCCAACTAATATCTATAGTTTTAAAAAGAAAACTGAAAGCTAACACATTCATATGTGTACAAGTACTCAGTAAAACGTGGCCCAAATATACAATCTAAACCACTGCATATACATTTTTGAGGAGGCATAGCACGGTGTTTGCTATAGTATCATAAGAAGTTATCTTAACTCATAAGGATATTTGCATTTTTATTTCATGTTTTCTTTTAAGAAAAGCAAATCCCAAATTGCTTTTAACCTATTTACTTGCTCATTCTTATTAACAGAGAGTTCGCAAAGTTCTATGATGTATAATGTACTGGTCATCACTGGTGAGTTTAAAAGTATGCAAAGATAAAACACAAGCCCTATTCTCAAAATAGTAGGTAAGGTTAGAGATATTTGCATAAACTCAGATAAACCAAAGAAAATAAAAAGAAAATGGGTGGAAAGAAATAAAGATGCAAAGGGTAACATGTTCAGTACAGCTTAGTACCTAAGGCATTGACATTAAAACATGGCTTAATATTTCCTGTTTTAGCAGAAAGGCTAATAGTAGGGTCCTACCCATATTTAGATGCAAGGATGCCAAACAAATGGATGGGTTGCTTTTAAATTTCTTTAGTAAAGAATTGAAGCTGGATGGGAACAGGCAGGATGTTGAGTTTACTTTAAAGCCAATTTGGTGATTTTGACTATAGAAAGATTTAACTAAAAACAGCTCTCCTATTAAAAATTGAATTTGATGTTGTGTTCCCATTAGAAAATGATCTCTCTAAATTTGCTATGAAATCTCAATGATGACCTTGATGCCACATTTACTAATAATCTCCACAGAGATTTAGGCATTCAAAGTTTCAAAAGCAGTTTTAATAATGGAAATGCAATACCTAAACATATGCTTGATTATATAATCTAGTACATCTACAGTAAAATGCCCATTAAAATTTTAAAAATCTGAGGATTTTAATTGACTATATCATTAATATGCATGCACAGTATTTTTGCAAACAACAAACCACACTAGTAAACCAAAACAAACCTAAGGATTGGTTGCACTAATAGACAAATAGGGTCCAGAAAAGGAATCTGACACTCCTGTTATATTTGGGGTGCATCAGCATTATTACAGTTATTCTGCATCAGCAAACTAGGAGGGATGCTAAAAGTTAGTAACTGCTAGGAGGAGTGAGACCAGAACAATTAATGATGAAGAAATAGGATGATTAGGAACAGAAAAGAAAAAATGTTCTGATCATAGAGATAAAGTGGAGGACACCTTTGAGAAAATTAATTTGGTAACTACATGATATATTACAAAAGTTACTTTTATTAATTTATTACCTGTCTCTTCCTCTAGAATGGAAGTAACATAAGGGCAGGCACTTTCTCTTTTTCACTGTAACCCCATTTTCTTGAATAGTGCCTGCCATATACTAGGATATCAATGAATATGTACTCAGTGAATGAATGAACAGCCTAACCAATAAAACAGGCACTAAATCTGTATCTATTTACAGATGAGAAATTTAGGCTTAAAGAAATTAAATCATGTACACCAAATTAAATTGTCATTCTGCAACTACAAACTTCTACAATGCATTCTTTATTCTTCCATTCAATATTCATTCTAGCAACAGGAGAAACAGACAATAAACAAATAAACTGTTAGACTTATAATGTCATATAATTAGTACTATGAAGTCAGATAAAACAAGATAATGACACTGAGAGTTACCTGGCCTGATATTTTAGATAGATTTGGACAGGGAAACTTCTCAAAGGACGTAAGAATAATAAGAAACCTGAATCAAGTAAAGAAGACAGTCAAAACAAAAAAATCTGAAGGACTGGCTGGGTGAGGTGGCTCACACCTGTAATCCCAGCAGTTCGGGAGGCCGAGGCAGGCGGATCACCTGAGGTCAGAAGTTCAAGACCAGCCTGCTCAACATGGCGAAACCCCATCTCTACTAAAATACAAAAAATTAGCCGGGCGTGGTGGCGGGCACCTGTAATCCCAGCTACTCAGGAGGCTGAAGCAGGAGAATTGCTTGATCCTAAGAGGTGGAGGTTGCAGTGAGCCAAGATCGCGCCACTGCCCTTCAGCCTGGGTGATAAGAGCAAAACTCCGCCTCAAAAAAAAAAAAAAATCTGAAGGACCGTTTGAATTGTTTTAGGATTAAATAATACATATTTCCTTGCCTAGTATAATGGCCAGCATATACCAAACAGTGTACTCAATACTTTTTATTATATTGCTAATATTTTTATAAATTATGTTTCCCCACTAGATTACATTGTCAAAGGCATTTACTGTTATTTTCCTTAAGGTTCCTTAAATAGTGCCTAGCAAGAGCTCAATAAACACTTAGAGAACAAAAATAGAAAGACACAATTTTCAGTTCATTAATTAGAAAATAAACAGACTACATGAATATGAAAAAGTCACCATCTTTCGTATACCTGAATCAATCAAACTCTGTTAAATCAATTTCACATAATATTTCACCTTTCCTAAATTAAAAAAAAAAGAAAAAGGGGAAAATATATTAAATGGCTAGGGCCAAGAAGTCATAGATAACAAAAGAATAAGAAAGAATCAGAAGAAAATTAAGTTATTAACATGAGGCCACTCTCTTTACTATTTACATGCTGTCTGACTCCATCAGATTAACACATTTTTCCAGTGAAGGGACATTGCTACACAGATATCTGATTCATTTATGTATTCCTAATGCAAGCACAAGCCTTGCTATGTAACAAATAATCAAAAAAATCTTTGTTGTCCTGAAATGAACTAAAATGATGTTTAGTAGTTTTGATGCTTTAAAGCTAGCTCAAAACAATAACAACAAACCAGGGGACTGACAAACTTAAAAAACAAATTTAAATGAGAAAACATCAAGCATTAGGTTTGAGTCCTATAGCAAAGAAGCAGAGAACAAGGTAGGTTCTTTCCAAAGAGTTAAATATAAGTGACAGTGTGATATTGGCATTGGAAGAGATAGATCAGTAGAAGAGGCCAGGGGAACTTAGGTATGGGGTAAATGTTACAAGTAACATTTCCATGAACAATGTTGAGATAGCTGACTGATTACCTGTGGCAAAATAAATTCTGTTCTCTAATTCTTATCAGTACTAAAATATAAATCAGGTCAATAAAACTCAATATAATATATAAAACAATCAAGGACCTCTAAGAAAATACATATGTATAATTTTCTGAACTCCAATGTGGGAAGGACTTTTAAAGTACATACACAGTGGTATATAATATAAGCATAAAGATTTATGATGTTTACTACTTAAAATTAAAAATTTTAGCCTGGGCAACATGGTGAAACCCTGTCTCCACAAAAAATACAAAAATTAGTTGGACATGGTGGTGCACAACTGTAGTCCCAGCTACTCAGGAGGCTGAGGTGGGAGGATCACCTGAGCCTGGAGAGGTCAAGGCTACAGTGAACCATGATCCTGCCACTGTACTCCAGTATGGGCAAGAGAACAAGACCCAGTCTCAAAAAAAAAAAAAAAAAAAGTGTAAGGCAGAAAACATCTTTAACAAAATTCAAACTTAAGAGGCCAATAAAAAATAAATATTTTTAAAGTGTATAATGTTCATTGGGTTAAGAGTCTTTATAAATAAATAAACATATTATTCTACTTTTTAAAATGAGCAAAATACATGAATAGGCAATTCACAATAGAATTGTGAGTTCTCTTCTAAAATATGGAATGCATTTATAAATATATTTAAACATATATAAAATATATTTTAAACTATATATAAAATAGTAATACTTATTACTATTTATTATTAAATAATATTATTAATTCTAATACCTATAAGTAATAAGGTGAAATAAGAAGCTAAAATACATATGAAATAATATTAATCTGCAATAGCAATGAAAGAAATGCAAATTAAATAAACTAAAATATTTTAGAATAGTGAACTGGTTAGATAAATTATATGTAATAGGATATTAAGTGTTCATTAGACATGGCAAGTGAAAATATATAATACATCATTAAGCTTAGAAAACAGGTTATAAAATGGTAATAATGATAACATACCATACCAATATTTAATAATTTTTCTCTATATAATATAAATACAGACTATGCACAACTTTTGGTTATGTGCATATGTAAGTATAGATCTGTATGTACCAGGTGTGTGTGTGTGTGTGTGCTTGTGTGTGCATTAGAAAAAGTATGTATGTGACTGTAAAAAACTTAAACTACATTATTCTTTGAATTTATCTTAAGATTATGACAGTTTTTTTCTTCTTAGAATTTGTTTCCAAATTTTCTGTAATAAAAACAAATTACTTTTTATAAACATAAAAAGCACTAAAGAAGGCACCTAGTTTATGTTTCAGGAAAGAAAAATTTAATTTATATTATTAGAATTCCTGAATGTTAAGAAAGACATTTGAAAATGTCTATCTGTCATTTTTGGTGAAACCTTTTTAACTGCATAGATTTTTTTAGAGAAAAAAAAATGTAAGGAAGGAAAGGAGAAAGGGCAGGTATCGTGAGGAAGGGAAGAGAACAACAAAGAAAGAAAAATAGGATTTATAAAGATAACAGCAACTACTCAGAATGGTATCTATTAGGTTCCTAGCAACCAAATTTTAACTGGTAACATCTCCAATTAAACTTTCAAAGAAAAGCACAGCCTGGAATGTAGAAAACTTAAGTTGGAGGTTACATTTATACTGTGAACATACTTTTACAAGAGAAAATAGATGAAATGTTCATCGATTTCAATGATAGGACTACTGTATAAAGAGAGACAAAATACACCATGAGAACATAAGATGCTCCAAATCAGTTTTGGAAATAGGAGTAGTATAAATTTCAATTAAGTAAAAGTTTAAAGTAAGCAAATTTTAAGTAGCTATAAAATCATGCTGTTCATTCCCATATAAGAAATTTTCAATCCATAGTCCTTAACATGTCATTCAAAACATATGACCCTACAACATATGAACTATGACTTCTGGTTAATTGTTTCAATGGACATTATTTTGTATAAGGCCTTCCCAATGAGTACAAAATGAATAGAAACTGTTAAAGACCATTATCTATTAATAATTATAGCAAACAAGTCTTCATTAAATAAAAATTTAAACATAAGGTTTAATTGTATTTTATTTTAAAAGGCAAATGAAAGCCAATTGATCATCCTGAAAGATCATAAAGAACCTGTACAGTTCCATCGTCAAGAAGACAAGGATACATTCCTTCAAAGACTGGAAAAGCTTTAATTTCAGTTCATCCATAATCATGCATCCTAAGGTGGAGGTATTCATTTTGGATTTGGATATATTATTAGAGTTTTTAAAACACCAGGGAAATCTGGTAAGTTCTATGGTATATTCTCAAAGAACATTTCATAAGATTGGTCTGGCTAAACCCCATACTAAAGCCATCTGAAATAAAGTCAAATTCCATGGAGCTGGAGCTCGAGAGCAACAACAAAAGACCATTCACTGACTCAGTTATACTTGCTCTTAGGTATTTCAGGTTCGCTTCTAAATAGGGGGAAAAAGTACAGAAAGATTAGGTACTAAATACTGTTTTTAACTCTAAAATACAATCAATTTTTTTCTTTACTTGTCTGTTTAAAAGTAACCCGAGCCCTTCCTTTTATTATGTGAAGCTTCATTCTGTTTATTTTTATTTCCCAAGAGCAGAATGCCTTAAATAAATTCTTAAAAACCAACACATCAACAAATAAATAAATTAAAACTCAGTGACTATAAAAAGTACACAATCTAACCTGCTTAATTATTAACAGGTAAACACAATGAACTTCTAAATTATTTACTTAATCCCCTTCAACTAAAAACTTTAAAGTTTTTGGGCTTGAAATGTATATCCTTTCTAAGGGTCCATAAAACAATTATTTAAAAATCTATTTAGCCATTTTAGTAAAAGCAATTTTAAAATACCAAGGTAAATATGCACTTAAACATTTACATAAGTTCATAAAAAATAGAAGACTTTTTTTAAATTTCACAGGTCAGTAAAATTATTTTTCTTCCAGCTTTCCCTAGTCTTCTGTCAGATATTTCACTCCACCATGAGCAGAAATATTCAGTACTAAATTATATTAGATTGATATAATAGTTTTGAAGTAAGCATTTATAGAATACTCTTATTCCTGAGTATACCATAAGAAATGTATAATTATGAAACTATAAAAATATTAATAATTTTGAAACTTCAAGAAAAAAAGAATGAATAAATTAAAAAATCACCATTTTCTCCAGATAAGACTGGACTATTTTCACCAGCGTAGCTAATCACTGAAGAAAGATTGCTGCTTGATGCAAGTAACCATTGATTACCTGAAATGTTGGTTAGTTAAATGTTCTGGTTAGCTAAGGGTTCTAGGGGGAAAGGTGTTTTTGTTTTTAGATCATTTTAACTAAAAATATAAGATGTTCTACTAGATTTCTCTGCTTTAGTAAATAGGGAATTATAATTTTATCTTTCACTTAAAATGAAAAAATTATGTTGCCTTAGAGGATGGCTCTTGAACTTTTGGGAAGTCAGAAGGGCCTCTGGGACGATGAAAAAAAACCAAGAATCTTTTTTCTCTAGAAAAGTGCATATGATCACGAAATTTTGTATGAAATTTCCAGGGATCCAGAGACCCAATAAAAACCCCTTGCTTTCTAATTTTACAGAATTCTAAATAACTAGACATAGGAGATTGCACTCATACAGTAACCCCCAGGACAAAAGGAGAATGTTTGAAGTTCCTTCAGAAGACAGGCCTAATAATGAGCTATTTTGTTATGATTTGTAACCTTTCTTCTAAAAGGGGTGTGTAAAAACAATTCTTGTTAATTTAGTCTTGGTTAAAGGTTAAATATGTTTCCTTTAAGGACAATTGCATTACAAGGTATTTGAGCTTTGAAACAAAATAGTGCTGCTTTAAAATCATTCCACATTTTAGAAGTGACAGCAATTTTCTTCCTATATTTTTGTAACAATAGAAGGCAGAGTCAAAGAGAAATCTATTTAATTTTCATCTTTACTTCTAAAGATTAACAGATAATAGCAAATACATGAGCAGTCCCCATATTCAGGTTCTGTTCAAAGCGCTTTTATTTGTATTTACTTATTTAAACCTAACAAAAACTCTAGGAGGTAGGTAATATCATCATACCCACTTTATCAATGTGTAAACTAAGGAACAGAGGGAGTAAGTAATTTGCCAAAGGACACCCTTTTACTGAGCGGCAGAACCAGGATTTATGCCCCCGTCAATCTGGTTGCAGAGTTCGGATTCCTACAGACCATGTTCCATTTCCAGCTTTAATCTTTCATGAGTTCTTCAATCTTTCATGAGTTGATGGTTTTTCTTGTGTGTTATTATATTTAACACAAGTCTACTTCTTCACTACCATGCAAGGAACTTTCATACTGGTTTTCCCAGAAAAATTCATTTGGTGAATTGTTCATAAGATGCTGACAAAACTGGCCCCACCTTTGTGCAGCTGGCAGTTTTATACCATAGTAAATTTCCCAGAGTCAATGCCAAAAATTAAAAAACTAAGGTACCACCAGCTAGTAAGTGTGGAATTATACAATCAAAGCTGACCTCTCATTTCCTTTTTGGAAATAGTTTTCATGGGATAAATATGTGAATGATTATATTCCAAAGGCAACCAAGACAACAGTATAAATGGGCAATATTATCATAATAACTTCTCAAAGGCAGGATTGTCTGCTATTCCTAATTCATCTGATGAGAGGTACACCAGTCGATACAACTTTTAATTTCTAGTCCTAAATCATTTCTATGAAATAACATGTCAAAGTAAAATGCATACTTAATGAGGGCCAGCAAGGGGCCAAATTTGCAGTATGACTATTTTCTTGAAATATCCTCTTGGCAGATTGCTACCAAAGACAGCAACCAATTTGTAATGCAGGATTTGCTTTTAGTGTACCAATCTTTACACATTGAGTAATTCCATGAAGAGAAAAGGCTGACTTAAAAAATAAATAAAATAAATAAATCCCATCCTTATGGTTTGCACAGAACAGGTTTTAGTTATAAATTCATTCCATTTAATTTTTATTGAATTACTCCCTAAAATAAATGCAAACAGGCAGGTACCAGTGAGACACAAGTATAAAAGGGCACAATAAAGCAGAATGTTCAAAGTCCTGTGGGTACATGTGCACAACACGCAGTTTAGTTACATATGTATACATGTGCCTTGTTAGTGTGCTGCACCCAGTAACTCGTCATTTTTTAAAAATCTTTGTCCTTTTCTCAAATCCTCCCTCCAAAGTCCAAAGTTTTTTTTTACATTAGACCTATAGACTTTTATGAAGAAATTCATTTCAATGCAGCCAAGCTAGGCTGGGAATGAGAACCTGGTTTAATATAAAAGTATGCCTGGAATAAAATATCATCCTTTGCCTCTATCTATCTCTATATCATCCTACACACCATAATAAAACAAATATTTGGAAATAATCTAGTTATTTCCTATAATAATTCCTAATGATTTACAGTATCAAGTCCTATATACTTGGTTTTCAAATTCCTCCATAATCTAGTTCCATTATATATCCTAATTCCAAATAATGCAGAAATTATACTGTCTCACCCAATGAAATAAGATTTTAAATAAATATACATTGTTTCAGCAAACAATTATTGGGTTTACAATGTGTCATGCAATGTTCATGTAGCTGAAATATTTTCACATATATATCAGGCTTTTCCTATGCCCTCAACATGTCCTTCACGATGTCCTTCCTATATAGTTCAGCATGAGGTATTCGTCTCTACTCTGTCAATTTCTGTTAAATTCATAGTGAACTCAAATTAATTTTAACTCGAGAAATGCCAGTTAGAGAAATTAAAGCATGATATATAATTACACCGAGGAACCAGATTTAGAACCGGAGAAGCATTGTTTCTCAAGGCCGTTCTTGTCTTCATATTTCATGGTCAAAGGTCAATGTTGAAAAAGCTGATGAAAGCTAATAGTAAAACTCTCAAGTCTGTACCCAAGCAAAGCACCTGATCAGTATCTGATCCAAGCAAGTCAAAAAAGGAAAGAAGTTTGTGTGTAACTTTTGGCTTCAGACTGATATGAAAGGCTTCATCCTTTCAATTAAGGCATAGACTTTTGCCTATCTGTGATATAAAATATATTAACAGCTATAGACTAGGAATTTTTACATTTAAGCCAAAATACAGCCAACAGAGTTTAAATTTTAAGTAATTTGTTAAACTAAATTAACTGAATTTTCAATTATAGGTTTTAAATGCTTAGAAATTTTCCATACGTTTGTTATAGACCTCTTGTTATTTTCTAGTTTCAAAAATGTGTCTTTGCATAAACTCACGGTTTTCAGGTTTTTCACAACTGCTTCAATAAGCATTACAGTAATGCTTTTTAAAACGAAACGATTTCCTTTGCTATATTATTGCCCAGTTGACGTTCTTATCCAAAGCCAGTTTTGCTCTCTGAATTTACTTTTTTCTTTCTTCTCCCCAAAGGTGTATTGATATGATACACACTCCTTCCATTTCCTGGTTTAATTTGAACATGTCATCCTCCCACATCATAATCCAGTCCATCTACCAACAACTTATTTTTCTTCTGTGAGACTGGCATTGATGATGGAGATCACAGGGTTTAGGATGTCTCTTTTCAGTTATTGAGCCTGGCCCATTCCCAGTCCTAATCTTTTTCTTGTTAAAAATCAATTATACATATATATATTTTTATTATACTTTAAGTTTTAGGGTACATGTGCACAATGCGCAGTTTAGTTACATATGTATACATGTGCCTTGTTGGTGTGCTGGACCCAGTAACTAGTCATTTTTTAAAAATCTTTGTCCTTTTCTCAAATCCTCCCTCCAACAACAGGAGACAGCTTTCTTTAAATGTCCCTGCTCCGTCACCATTTTCTGTGAACAAGTCTCTGCTCCATCAGGATGCACAACAACTACCCAGACCCATGTAGTGACATTCCAAATAAGCTTCTCTTTGGTCTTGGAGCCAAAGAACCAAGTCCTAATTCCCAATTTCTCCCAAACTTTCACTATCTCAGTGTATTCTCTCTTCTCACTCTTATTTCTATCAAGACACCTATGAATGGCCTTCTCTTTCATTGAACAACAGTTGATTCAGATACAATCAATTCAATAACTCTCATTTTAGATCAGAAACATACATTTATGTTTAGAAAAGACTAATCAATTGAGTACCTAAGAAAACAAACAAGGAGCTAATTTAATGTCCTGTTCCCAAGAGCACTCTCACACAGACACAGAAACAAACATACACTCACACATCCCTACACACCAACTGTTTTACTAAAATCCAGCCACACTACCTTTTTTGTCTTCCTTCATCAGGCCATGCTTGTTTGGGGCTTTTGAACACGCTTTTCTACAAGGCTCTTCTCCCAGATCATTTCATGATGGCTTCCCCTTCTCATCATTCAGTCCTCAACTCAAATGGCACGTGGTTACTCTTTATCCCACTATCCACCCTATCTGACCCAAGTCACTTTTGATCCCACTGCCCAGATTTCTTTTCTTCACAGGATATCACTATCTGCAACTATTTTACTTATTTATAAACTGACTCATTGTCGATTTTCCTACATTAAGGAGGCTATCTGTCTTATTCTCTGCCAAATCACTTGCCCCTAGGTGTCATGCCTGGCACATAGTAAGCACTGATAGATCTGAGTAACGAATAAATGAATTTACAGAAATCGTTAGCCATAAATAGTTTTCAAGTGCTTACAATGTGCAAGGTAGTTCTTTTTTCAGTTGAATCCTAGGATGAAAAATGCTCTGTCTCTCAGCATTAATGGGGCACAGTAAGTCCATTTAAGAGATAGGTCCAAGATCAAGTGGATGAAGCTTATTTTGAAAAAGTTCTAAACAAAATATATTCCTACCACATTAGACCTAAAATGTATTAATACATAAGATTAACAACATTGTTCTTCTCAGCTATTGTTTCCTTCACACTTCCCCATTAAACTTTTGATATGTCATTATGTCCTTTTATGATGTCAAAAACAATTGAATGGAACTGAATGAAAGTAGTTACAACGACACATACCCAATTTGGGACCTTTACTGCCAAAATAGATGGGTCAAAATGATGAAACATGGTAAGATTCGGGGTGAGACCAAACCCTGAATCTTTACATGTTCACTCCCTCCCACATTCATACAATGTACAAATATCCTGACTATACCTAGCCTTGACAAGCGTTCTAATGCCTCTACAGGTGAAAACATCCATTCATTTAAACCAGGACCTTTATCTATAAAGTGCCAAATAATAAATATTTTAGCCTTTGCAGGTCATAAAGTTTCTGTTTCAACTACTCAATTCTGCTACTATAGTCTGAAAGCAGCCATAAGCAATAAACATATAAACAAATGACCATGGCTGTACTCCAATAAAACTTTGTTTACAGAAGGGGGTGGGATGCATTTGGCAAACCCTGATCTAACCCATCAGTGAAGCCTCCAAAGTTTATATATGGGGAGATTTAGAAAGAAAATTTGATCAGAAAGTGTGTTAGGAGGACTTGTGTTAGAATCTGCTTTTCTGTGATACACATTTTGCTTTTATATGAAATATATGTGTATGGGGGGGTTGGAAAAGATTACGGGAAAACTGAACCCCTCAGGTCACTCTTATCACTGCCGCCTAATCCTGCAATCCATTTGAGGGTGTTCTTGGCATTACATTTTGGCCTTCTATAGATTCATCAGCTTTCTCTGCATATTTTATCCATCAGATTATTTATATCGTAATTCTACAATTATTTTTGAAAAGCTACAACAAACACTCGGTTGAAGTTCAAAATATACATTCCCCTTAACCATGCTAATTCTGCATTCTATTTCAAACATTATTAATTTTGTCAGGCAAGATTTGTTTATAATAAACTCATTTTTTTCATCGCTCATGATTCCTTTGTCTTCAAGATGTTTACTGATTTCTCTTACAATGTTTTATGAGAATGTTGTCAGATACCCTGTAAGCCATTCAACATTACATTTACATCTATTATAACAATTCTTTCTCCCTCAAAATCTTTTAGGTCTTCCAAATTTCCCAATTGGAATATACCTTTATCCAAAGTATAATAAATACACCTTTACCTGTTTCTGGTTGATAGCTACTTTCAAAAGGTATTTTAAACGCATTATATGTTTTTCAAAATTGTGTTTTAACACCAAAACAGCCACACAATTAAACTAAAATTTAGTAAAGATTCTAAATGATAACACACTGTCATAAGATACATTACATATTAATTAGCAATGTTATCATTTTCTATTCTCCATCTTATAGTTTCTGTAATAAATCCTACTGCCAATCAGCTTTCATTATCAGCCCGTCTAATCATGATAACCAATAAATTGTACTCTATGCTTCTGACATCCAATTCTGCTTTATCTATTCTAGCTATAGTGTCAAAATATTTTTGTAGCTTCAACTAGGGTTTGACAAAAATGCTAAAACTATAAAATCTAAATGTAAAGTTTACCATTAAATTATATCAGCATGTCATACAACCATGATTTTTAAAATAAAATGAGAAAATACATAAAGTAAGATTTTAGATAACATGATAAAGTCTGCTTCAGTTTGATTCAGTATTCAATAAATAAAACCACTTGAGAATCCCAGTAAAAGTAAACCTTGAGATGGTTGAAATATCCATTTTAAATAACGGGAACTTTTAGGTAATTGTCTCTATGAAACAAGAATCAGGCTTTTGAGGTCATAAAATGCTTGACCTTCCCAGGTACAATGAATGCAGAAAGCTTACTACTAAGTTACACAATAGGGGTAAGACTGTTGAATCTATCTGAAAAATTACATTTTCAAAAGCTCCACAAAGTAACTGATTCATTAAAGAAATAATTGGAAAGATTCTTTCTCTTTCCTCATATGAAGGAGAAATCACAAAACGTTGCAATATTTTCAAAAGAGGATGAAGTGCTCACATTTCACTTGTGAGGTTTCAATAGCTTTATTACCTATGCTCTTGCTGTTTGTTCAGCATGCTGAAGAAAAGTATTTCCAAAATAACATAGGTTTGCTAATCCTTGGTTCCTGATAATATCACATGATAGGATAGGAGCTTTCAAACACAGTCAAGCTGACAGTCACTTGCTCTGTACTCAGAGGGACCAATTTCTCCCTGTAGACATGAATACAGCACAAATAATAAAGTGCCAAAAGTTGAGTGTAAGTGCAAACCCTTCAACATCACTCAGGTATCAGCAAAAAGTACCTGTTTAGCTACATGTAGAAGTCAGGTACAACATGTTGAAAGGGAGGGAAGATTAGAATTGAAATAATTTATCTGCCTCTGCTAGTTTATCTGCATCACTGAAAAGAATTAAACCAACCTTGCCAAAGGTAAGTCTTGTCTAGGTACAAACTGTCTTATCAATGCCATCTCATCTATTCCCTATCGTCTTCTTTTTTTTTCTTTTTTTGAAAGAAACTTTTTATTTATTGTTTTTTTCACATTGCAAGTGATGGTATCCAGTTTCTTTTTTTTTTTTTTTTTAATTATGCTTTAAGTTCTAGGGTACATGTGCACAATGTGCAGGTTTGCTACATATGTATACATGTACCATGTTGGTGTGCTGCACCCATTAACTCGTCATTTACATTAGGTATATCTCCTAATGCTACCCCTCCCTCCCCCCTCCCCCAACCCCATGACAGGCCCCGGGGTGTGATGTTCCCCTTCCGGTGTCCACGTGTTCTCATTGTTCAATTCCCCACCTAAGAGTGAGAACATGCGGTGTTTGGTTTTTTGTCCTTGTGATAGTTTGCTGAGAATGATGGTTTCCAGCTTCATCCATGTCCCTACAAAGGACATGAACTCATCTTTTTTATGGCTGCATAGTATTCCATGGTGTATATGTGCCACATTTTCTTAATCCAGTCTATCATTGATGGACATTTGGGTTGATTCCAAGTCTTTGCTATTGTGAATAGTGCCGCAATAAGCATACGTGTGCATGTGTCTTTACAGCAGCATGATTTATAATCCTTTGGGTATATACTCAGTAATGAGATGGCTGGGTCAAATGGTATTTCTAGTTCTAGATCCTTGAGGAATTGCCAGACTGTCTTCCACAATGGTTGAACTAGTTTACAGTCCCACCAACAGTGTAAAAGTGTTCCTATTTCTCCACATCCTCTCCAGCACCTGTTGTTTCCTGACTTTTTAATGATCGCCATTCTAACTGGTGTGAGATGGTGTCTCATTGTGGTTTTGATTTGCATTTCTCTGATGGCCAGTGATGATGAGCATTTTTTCATGTCTCTGTTGGCTGCATAAATGTCTTCTTTTGAGAAGTGTCTGTTCACATCCTTCGCCCAGTTTTTGATGGAGTTGTTTGTTTTCTTCTTGTAAATTTGTTTGAGTTCTTTGTAGATTCTGGATATTAGCCCTTTGTCAGAAGAGTAGATTGTAAAAATTTTCTCCCATTCTGTAGGTTGCCTGTTCACTCTGATGGTAGTTTCTTTTGCTGTGCAGAAGCTCTTTAGTTTAATTAGATCCCATTTGTTAATTTTGGCTTTTGTTGCCATTGCTTTTGGTGTTTTAGACATGAAGTCCTTGCCCATGCCTATGTCCTGAATGGTATTGCCTAGGTTTTCTTCTAGGATTTTTATGGTTTTAGGTCTAACATTTAAGTCTTTAATCCATCTTGAATTAATTTTTGTATAAGGCGTAAGGAAGGGATCCAGTTTCAGCTTTCTACAGATGGCTAGCCAGTTTTCCCAGCACCATTTATTAAATAGGGAATCCTTTCCCTATTTCTTGTTTTTGTCAGGTTTGTCAAATATCAGATGGTTGTAGATGTGTGGTATTATTTCTGAGGGCTCTGTTCTGTTCCATTGCTCTATCTCTCTGTTTTGGTAGCAGCACCATGCTGTTTGGTTACTGTAGCCTTGTAGTATAGTTTGAAGTCAGTTAGTGTGATGCCTCCAGCTTTGTTCTTTTGGCTTAAGATTGTCTTGGCAATGTGGGCTCTTTTTTGGTTCCATATGAATTTTAAACTAGTTTTTTCCCAATTCTGTGAAGAAAGTCATTGGTAACTTGAGGGGGATGGCATTGAATATATAAATTACGCAGGACAGTATGGCCATTTTCATGATATTGATTCTTCCTATCCATGAGCATGGAATGTTCTTCCATTTGTTTGTGTCCTCTTTTATTTCGTTGAGCAGTGGTTTGTAGTTGTCCTTGAAGAGGTCCTTCACATCCCTTGTAAGTTGGATTCCTAGGTATTTTACTCTCTTTGAAGCAATTGTGAATGGGAGTTCACTCATGATCTGGCTTTCTGTTTGTCTGTTATTGGTGTATAAGAATGTTCGTGATTTTTGCACATTGATTTTGTATCCTGAGACTTTGCTGAAGTTGCTTATCAGCTTAAGGAGATTTTGGGCTGAGATGATGGGGTTTTCTAAATATACAATCATGTCATCTGCAAACAGGGACAATTTGACTTCCTCTTTTCCTAATTGAATACCCTGTATTTATTTCTCCTGCCTGATTGCCCTGGCCAGAACTTCCAACACTATGTTGAATAGGAGTGGTGAGAGAGGGCATCCCTGTCTTGTGCCCGTTTTCAAAGGGAATGCTTCCAGTTTTTGCCCATTCAGTATGATATTGGCTGTGGGTTTATCATAAATAGCTCTCATTATTTTGAGATACATCCCATCAATACCTAATTTATTGAGAGTTTTTAGCATGAAGGGTTGTTGAATTTTGTCAAAGGCCTTTTCTGCATCTATTGAGATAATCATGTGGTTTTTGTCTTTGGTTCTGTTTATATGCTGGATTACGTTTATTGATTTGTGTATGTTGAACCAGCCTTGCATCTCAGGGATGAAGCCCACTTGATCATGGTGGATAAGCTTTTTGATGTGCTGCTGGATTCGGTTTGCCAGTATTTTATTGAGGATTTTTGCATCGATGTTTTCATCAGGGATATTGGTCTAAAATTCTCTTTTTTTGTGGTGTCTCTGCCAGGCTTTGGTATCAGGATGATGCTGGCCTCATAAAATGAGTTAGGGAGGATTCCCTCTTTTTCTATTGATTGGAATAGTTTCAGGAGGAATGGTACCAGCTCCTCCTTGTACCTCTGGTAGAATTCGGCTGTGGATCCGTCTGGTCCTGGACTTTTTTTGGTTGGTAGGCTATTAATTATTGCCTCAATTTCAGAGCGTGTTATTGGTCTATTCACGGATTTAACTTCTTCCTAGTTTAGTCTTGGGAGAGTGTGTGTGTTCAGGAATTTATCCATTTCTGCTAGATTTTCTAGTTTATTTGCATAGAGGTGTTTATAGTATTCTCTGATGGTAGTTTGTATTTCTGTGGAATCGATGGTGATATCCCCTTTATCATTTTTTATTGCGTCTATTTGATTCTTTTCTCTTTTCTTCTTTATTACTCTTGCTAGCAGTCTACCAATTTTGTTGATCTTTTCAAAAAACCAGCTCCTGGATTCATTGATTTTTTGAAGGGTTTTTTGTGTCTCTATCTCCTTCAGTTCTGCTCTGATCTTAGTGATTTCTTGCCTTCTGCTAGCTTTTGAACGCTTTTGCTCTTGCTTCTCTAGTTCTTTTAATTGTGATGTTCGGGTGTCAATTTTGGATCTTTCCTGCTTTCTCTTGTGGGCATTTGGTGCTATAAATTTCCCTCTACACACTTCTTTGAATGTGTCCCAGAGATTCTAGTATGCTGTGTCTTTGTTCTCATTGGTTTCAAAGAACATCTTTATTTCTGCCTTCATTTCGTTAGGTACCCAGTAGTCACTCAGGAGCAGGTTATTCAGTTTCCGTAGTTGAGTGGTTTTGAGTGAGTTTCTTAATCCCGAGTTCTAGTTTGATTGCACTGTGGTCTGAGAGAAAGTTTGTTATAATTTCTGTTCTTTTACATTTGCTGAGGAGTGCTTTACTTCCAACTATGTGGTCAATTTTGGAATAAGTGCGATGTGGTGCTGAGAAGAATGTATATTCTGTTGATTTGGGGTGGAGAGTTCTGTAGATGTCTATTAGGTCTGCTTGGTGCAGAGCTGAGTTCAAATCCTGGATATCCTTTTTAACTTTCTGTCTCGTTGATCTGTCTAATGTTAACAGTGGGGTGTTAAAGTCTCCCATTATTATTATGTGGGAGTCTAAGTCTCTTTGTAGGTCTCTAAGGACTTGCTTTATGAATCTGGGTGCTCCTGTATTGGGTGCATATATATTTAGGATAGTTAGCTCTTCTTTTTGAATTGATCCCTTTACCATCATGTAATGGCCTTCTTTGTCTCTTTTGATCTTTGTTGGTTTAAAGTCTGTTTTATCAGAGACTAGGATTGCAACCACTGCCTTTTTTTGTTTTCCATTTGCTCCGTAGATCTTCCTCCATCCCTTTATTTTGAGCCTATGTGTCTATGCACGTTCTTATCTCTCTTTCTCTCCTAAACTTTTTTTTTGTAATAATCTCTCTCTCCACCTAAACTTTTCAACTTCTCTCTCTTTCTGTCTTTTTTACTCCCTCCACTAGACATACCCACTCTCTCTCACAAATAAATACTCACTGTATGATGCTAACTGCTAACTTAAAGGAGATGTAATTTTATCACTCACATATGATTATTGATGTGAAAGTGCAAGAGTAAATATGTCAGCAACTGAAAAATTAGGGCAACATGATCCAAATCAAGTGCTAAATATATTAATCATATACATACTATGCACTTCTATAGAAAAATTATTAGGCTATAAGCAATCATAAAGATTAGCATAAATAACCTAAAAAAACTATTAAAAGTCAAGACAGGGAGATTCAGCTGACAGAGTTGTATCTCTCTTTCTTTTCATATAAAGAGATATTCAGTATGATGTTGCTAATTAAGAAGTGAAACAAGTTAGAATGAAAGCTATAAAGGGAAATCTCTGGGTGTCAGACAAAAAGAAAGAACTCAAAGCCAGAGCAGAAGGTGGGGCTGAACTCTTGGTGTCCCCCTAGAGCACCATAGCCACATATATCCATATATTTGTCCGCAGTGTGGGGAAACAGACAAAGCCTGAAGCCAATGAGAGGAGTGGAACAGAAGCTGAGACTCCCACTTATTAATGGATGTCCCCTCACGCATCTGTAAGATTTAGACTAGAAAAGTCTATAGGTCTATAGACTAGCCCAGAGACAGAGTAATAAAACTAGAAATCTTCTTAGGGTTCTGGGGGAAAAAAAAACATAGAAAATGAAACCCAGATACGTGCCATGAGTGCCTTAGGAATCAGCATTGCATTATTTGGGACAGAAAACTCAAAGCTAAAAATTAACACAAAACCAATTAGGTTTTCTGTAGACCAGTACAGGCACAGATCATGGGTCACAGAATAGAAGGAAATACTAAATTACTTTGGAAGGACCCAAGGCACTCACAGAGAAAACAACTTTCTTCACCTGAGAATGAGCTAACCATAGGATCAAAAACTGATACTCTTTTGTTCAATTCAACATCTACCTATTAAATGCTTTTTTAGGCAGATAATATTTTAGACCCTGAAGATATATTAGTGAATAAAACATAATTCCTGTTTATACTCTCATGAGGAAGACAATGAATACAGAAATATAAAATATAATGTTCAGTACTAACAAATGCCACAAGAGAAAAGCAGTACAAAAGAAAATAGAAGAAGAGATGGAGAAACAGATATGTAGAAAAAATATTTATAGAAAGACTCTAAGAAGGTGATATTTGAGCAGAACCCTGAACAAAGTAAAGGAGTGAGTCATGAGGCAGAAGATACATCAACAGGAAAGAATACAATTAGTAAAGATATAGAAGATTTAAATTACATCATTTTGAACTAACTGATGTGTAAAAACTTCACCTTTTGAAAATTGCACATTCTTTCCAACTAATGTGTAATATTTATAAAATTCAACCATTATGATCTAAAAAGAGGTGTTAACAAATACCAAAGAATTGGTATTACAAAATAAGGTATCTGACCACAATGGAATAAAATAAGAAATTAAGATGAAAAGATAGATTAAAAAGCCCTATATATTTAGAAACTAAAAAAACATTCATAAATATTCCATGAGTCAAAGAAGAAATCATAATTGAAATATTAATTATTTAAAATGAACACAATAAAGGCACTACATATCAAAACCTGTGGGATGCAGCTAAAGTGGTTCTTAGTGGAAAATTTATGGCTTTAAATGCATATATTAGATTTTTTAAATACGTAAAATTAATTAGTTTAGGATCTCACTTAGCAAGTTAAAAAATAATAGCAGAATAATCCATGTAAAAGAGAAGGAAAGAATAATGATTAGAACAAAAATTAATAACATGAAACAAATGTACAATAGAGAGTATCAGCAAAACCAAAATTTGTTCTTTAAGAAGAGGTGTAATATATTAGGCTAAACCATATTATTTTTTCAGTATTCAACCCATAGTAAAACTTATGCTGATCAAAAAATATTAATCATTAAATATTTAAGAAAGAAAATAGAGGCACTGATTAGAAACTTTAGGAATAAAGAGAATGTATCTCAAACAATATAGGAAAGATTTAAAATAACCTGAGAATATACTAAACAACTAAATGGCAATCAATTTACAAACTCAAATGAAATAAGCAGTTTCCTAGAAACATGAAATGTAAGAAAAATATGTAATTAGAAATAGAAAACCTGAATAAATTTATGATCAATAATTGAGAGAAAAAATAATCTCCTGACAAGTTACATCTCACATGGTTTAACAGTTGAATCCTGCCAAGCCTTTAAGGAATGGATAATCGTAGCCTGATATAAACTATTACAGAAAGAAAAATAAATATCCAAACTTCACTGTCTTCTTACTTTTTTCTCAGAGCACTTAGTGTCTTAGTAATATTTTCACAACAAACTTAGCTTAAAAGTATGTAACAGATCCATTAATTTAGTACTTAGGTCTAAACAATTAAATAAGTATTTTTGTCCCAGCAATACAGCCATATAGAAATAATAAACACAAATTTTTAAAAATTATTTTTACTTCATTCTTATATAGCCATCTTTAAGTTTATTATTATTGGGATGTGTGTGCCTGTCAGGCACTGCACAACTTTTCAAACCTTGAAATCTGATTGGACACTGCCACACTTATTTCCTGTTCTATATTGATTTTCATGCAGTACCTGCTTTCTATGACAGCAACCACAAAAACCAAGCTTCACGAAGACATGACACCATCAGGATGAATTTACTGAAATCCCACGCTAAAACTGAACTATTCAGGGTAGTGTCTGACCTGGTGTCTGACAGATGTTGAATATTGCTACGTTTCTCTTAAAAATTTTAAATAGCTCATGGCCCACCTGTGAGTTCACTGTGGCCCTACAGGAGTGCCTTGGAACATAGATTGCAAACCATGGCATTATGGTGAGAAATGACTTATGTAAATTTTTAAGTAAACAAAACTGCACCGAATGTTCATGGATAAGTGTGTGCGCATGTGCTGCATGAAATGAAATGAAAATATAAAAATAGTAAAAATATGAACTGAAAGCATATGCATTAACTTCAGAAGAGTGGTTACCTCTAGGGACAAAAGGTGGAACTGTAAACACAAGGGAACTTCAACTATTTCTGCAATGACTAATTTCTGTAAAAACAAAATTCAAGCAAATATGGCAAATGCTAATGTTTTTAAAATATGGGTGATGGGTATTTGGTATTTATTACATTAATTTCGTGCCTTATTATACTTTTGAAATAGTTCATAAAAGAAAATAAGAAATGACAAGCATTGTGAGTTTTCAAAAGCTTCATATAGGTTGCTACTTTTAGCATGCCATTCTAAATCCCAGGACATCTGGTTACTGTTAGACCTGCTTTTCTAGTTTCCATTTA
The DNA here is from genome assembly GCF_000001405.40 of Homo sapiens. Classification (NCBI taxonomy): domain Eukaryota; kingdom Metazoa; phylum Chordata; class Mammalia; order Primates; family Hominidae; genus Homo; species Homo sapiens. The sequence goes on from NC_000003.12 coordinate 114,995,471, forward strand.
GAATCATTAAACTATCCATTCAGAGTAGTCTTAACATTTAAAGACAAAAAATCATATAAAGACCCCTATTTCATAAGCTTCACCCTAAGTCACAAATGCTGCTTTTATTTAGTAACTTTGAAAAAATCTCAGCAGAAATCAGATATAAGTGCTTTCTATTCACTTCTTCAAAATATACTTATTTTCTCATTTCAGTTATTGAAAATAATACCATAGTATGATAGAACATAACATGTATTCATTTAGTGCTATCCCAAACCCCACAAATCTCTGGTCTATTGCAAGAAATATACTCATTTTCAAACTTAGTATTAATATATTTATTTTGTAGGATACTAACCAAGTCAAAAATGAAACTACATTGAATTAACTGATGATTATGCCAGATGTACATTAAGTTTGTGTTAGTCACGTATGCCAGTTCCTCACATCCATCTCCCCTTTACCTTCTCCCAACCCCAACTTTTCAAAATAAAATTAATATTATTCATTAGAAGCAGGAAACTATAGAGGGAATGTCAGCAAATGTCAGAAGTTCCATGTATCAGTCAAGGATCAAAGAAGTTCCACAATAATAACATGAGCTACAATAATAAAGTAAATAAGATAGCAATTATCCCACCTTACTCTGAACTGGCCAGATCATGGCACATGTCTTTTATTATGAGGACACTGCCTTATCAAAAAGCCTAAAGAGAAAAACATGTAGAATGGTGAGAAATCTTATTTTTTTCTTTTCTTTTTTTTATTATTATGCTTTAAGCTCCGGGGTACATGTGTAGAACATGCAGGTTTGTTACATAGGTATACATATGCCATGGTGGCTTGCTGCACCCATCAACCTGTCATCTACATGAGGTATTTCTCCTAATGCTATCCCTCCCCTAGCCTCCCACCCCCCAAAAGGCCCTGGTGTGTGATGTTCCCCTCCCTGTGTCCATGTGTTCTCATTGTTCAAATCCCACTTATGAGTGAGAACACGTGGTGTCTGGTTTTCTGTTCTTGTGTTAGTTTGCTGAGAATGATGGTTTCCAGCTTCATCCATGTCCCTGCAAAGAACATGAACTCATCCATTTTTATGGCTGCATAGTATTCCATGGTGTATATGTGCCACATTTTCTTTATCCAGTCTATCATTGATGGGCATTTGGGTTGGTTCCAAGTCTTTGTTATTGTGAACAGTGCCACAATAAACATACGTGTATTTTTTATAACATACACATATGTCTTTATAGTAGAATGATTTATAATCCTTTGGGTATATACCCAGTAATGGGATTCCTAGATCATGTGGTATTTCTAGTTCTAGATACAAGATAAAAACAAACAACCCCATCAGAGAGTGGGTGAAGGATATGAACAGACATTTCTCAAAAGAAGACATTTATGCAGCCAATAAACATGGAAAAAAAAGCTCATCATCACTGGTCATTAGAGAAATGCAAATCAAAACCACAGTAAGATACCATCTCATGCCAGTTAGAATGGTGATCATTAAAAAGTCAGGAAACAACAGATGCTGAAGAGGATGTGGAGAAATAGGAACGCTTTTACCCTGTTGGTGGGAGTGTAAATTAGTTCAACCATTGTGGAAGACAGTGTGGCAATTCCTCAAGAATGGTGAGAAATCTTAAACAGTAGGGGCAGTTGAGGCAACTAGAGAGGTTTAACTTGGAAAACAGAAGACAAAGAGAGAAATCTCCAGTATCACCATGTTTTTGGTAGAGTATTATGTGGAGAGATAATCAGGTAGTTACAAATCACTGGAAGACAAGAGCATGGATCTCCAGGAATGACTGCTAGATCCACAGTGTAGAACCTTTGGGGTGATTAAAACGTTCTGGAATTAGATAGTGGTGATGTTTGTACAACCTTGCGAATATGCTAAACTCTATTCTTGAAATGTGTGAAATTTTATGGTATGTGTAAAACAAATTTTTAAGTGTCCATTAGATTCAGTAACATGATTAGTATAATCCAAATAATACATGAAAAGTCAAAAAGCAAACAATAAAAACAATGGTTTCCAAAGAAATAAAGTAATTTTTCAAGACAGATTGAAATGTTAGGAAAGAGTTTTCTTTTTCTTTTCTTTAAAAAAAAAATAGTGAAGGGCTTGAACAAGTTCGAATGTTGATAACAAAGGAGTTTACAAAGAGACAAAGCATGAAGACATAGAAAAGATAAAATTAATCAATACTGCAAAATTTCTAAAAAAGTAGAATTAGTGTTCAAAACATAGGTAAACAGATTAGTCTTTTTAAGTGGTAGGTTAATTTCTTTTTACAAAACTTCATGAAAAGAGGATACCACTAGCTAGTCCCACCCAGCTGACCCAGGATATTTACAGATTTTATCTTGGGATGTTAAGCATGTACTTAGATGGATGTGTCTACTTTTTTTTGACTAGATGATAATGTAGTCTGCTGGGGAGAAGAAGGAGCAAAGGTAGAAAGGGTAAATAATTTGTTCAACATTAGCCAGCTAGAAATGGATAGATTTCATTTTTGAAATCATTTATTTTTTTAGGATATATTTAAGGTGCTCAGCATGTTTTGATATAACTATAAATAGTGAAATGATTACTACAGTCAAGCAAATTAACTTCTTTTTATTTTGAAGTGATTATATACACACATGAAGTTGCAAATTAGTATAGATAGGTCAAATTTACCCGTTACCCAGCTTTCCACATTGGTACCATCTTACATAACCATGTACATTATGAAAATGAGGAAGTTGACCTAGTACAATAAAATAAACAACAAATTTTATTTGGATTTCATCAATTTGTGCATGCACTCATTTTTTGTACGTCTTTGTATCACATGTATTGATATAACCACCAAAAAAATCAAGATACAAAGCTGTTGTGCCATCACAAAAGAATTTGTGACCTCTTTATATGCCTGACCTTCTGAAACCTCTGAAAATAACTAGACTTAATCATAAGAGTAATGGGAAACTACTGAAGAGTATTAAGTGATAAAGTCACATGGCAGACTGTTTCATGTTTCCCTTTATCTCAAATAAAAACAGGGGTGCATAACTGAAGAAAGAAGAGGCATTAGAATATTATTTCAATAACTAAGGTAAAGCATGATGATGTAGAATAGAATAGTGACTCTAGATATGCAGCAGAGTGGATAATTTCAAAGATGTAGATTCAAAAGAATATGGTAGTTAACTGAATGTGGTAGTCAGGAAGGGATCAAGCTGAGCTTACCTGACTTGGATATCTGGGTTGGTGGTAATATCATTCACAGAGATGTGAATCATGAGAGAAGTGGCTTGGATGTGCTAAGTTTATTTCTTTATATGTCAAGTTACTTATGGGTTATTCAAATGAAGATGTCTAGAAGGTAATTTGGTATTGGAGTCTGAGGTTCAGGAAGAGGATCTTGTTTAAGATAAAGATGTGGCTGTAATTGATCCATATATAGTAACTGAAGCCAGAAAATTGGGTAAGATCAATCAGAATATGGTATCATCGAAGTCAAGAGAAAAGAATGAGGATAGTGGAGGGAAAAGGAGGGGAAAGGAGGGGAGGTTGGGGAGGGGAGGGGAGGGAAAAGGAGGGGAAAGGAGAGGAGAGGAGAGCAGAGGAGAGGAGAGGAGCAGGGAAATGAAAGGAGGAAGGAAAGGGAAGGGAAGGGGAAGAGGAAGGGGGAAAGGGAGAGGGAGAGAGAAAGGGAAAGGGAGAGGGAAAGGAAAGGAGGAAGGAAAGGAAAGGAGGAGGGAAATGAAAGGAAAGGAAAGGGGGAGGGAAATGAAAGCAGGAAGGAAAGGAAAGGAGGAGGGAAATGAAAGGAAAGGAAAGGGGGAGGGAAATGAAAGGGGGAGGGAAATTTTCAGGGCAAAACAGAAAGAATGGAAGGACAGAAAGATGGAAGAGAGGAAGGAAGGAACTTGCACAAATTGAGGGCACATGTAAAAACTTCAAATATCATGTACTCATTACATATAATTTGTGCTATATAAAACTTAATGCAAACTTATCAGCTTTTCTTTCTTTAAACCTACTTTTTTTTTACTTACTGTTTTTCCCTCGAAAAGTTCTTTATTCTTAGAAGGAATTTCCTCAAATATTTATATTCGATACCAATATTTTTTCTAAAATGAAACATCTCTATTTTCTTGGCCCAAGAACTGTGGTAACTAGCTTGAAAACAGTGCTATATATTTGTTATGTCAGGAAAAATATAGTTGAATGAAGTGTTCTCTTTCCCATAAAGAAAAAAGAGTTTCAAGCTACATTTAAGTTTTCTTTATACTACCACCTCTCCAAGCGTTTCAGCTATCATTGTTTTTTAACTGCCTCTATAATATACAATATGCAGCCAAATATTTGGAGATATTTTGGTCAAAAGGTATGTTAGCAACAACAATAGAAATAATAAAACAATTCTCAATGATAACTGAAGCTATTGCATAATTTAAATAAAATGGAAAAAGTCAGCATCAACTTTGAATTCATTGGCCTTTGTCAATTTATGTTGCAATGTTATATTTGTTTAAGGCATAACTCTGAATTCATTTAATGACCTAGACTATTTAGTGTTGGACTTTCATTTAAAAAAAAAATAGCAAAATAAAATGCCATCTCGTAGAGTGCTATTTACCATATGAGATCCATCTGGCAATACCATCTAATATTTAACTTTGAAGGCACTGTTATCAAATAGTTGCTCTAAAGTGCTTATAAGAGGCAAATTCTTCTGGTTTTTCTTCTAAGGCATATTATATTACTGATAATTTTAGGATAACAGATCTGAATGTAGATGATTTTAAATGTTGATTACAGCACATTATTTAATATTTTAAATATTGACTAATTCATTTTTAAATTATTTGTAAATTAGCAGACTATTTCTTTTATAAAATTAAATATTTTGTATTCTCCCACCCCACCGCTAGAAGTCTTTAAGGGGAATATTATAATTTTAAAATAAAGGATTTAAAGTAACAGTTTCCTGTTAGTTTTGTGGACTGTTTTCTTTTCCAGTAATATTTTGAGTCCAGTTCACCATAACTTACCAATACCCTTTCACATTGCCCAACCCCTAGAAACACTTAACAGATTTTTCTCTCCATAGGTTGGCTATATTCAAAAGAAACATTGGCCTATCAGGACCTCTCAGTATCCATGTTGTGGACAAGACCAAAGAGAACTTAACACTTTGAAAACAGCTACTTTACCTTATGTGCGACTCATAAACATTTAACTCAGTGTTACTCAGTGATGTGCTGCCAAAAGTAATTTACCAGGTTCCAAATGCTATATATCTGGATAAACTGGTCTCCAAAAGCAAACAAACAAAAAACCTCATTATATATTTTTAAAGAAAAATGTGGCCCCCACTACTAGGTCAGCAGAGAATTCTGAGAATATATAACAAGTCCTATGACTTCAGTCCCAAAAGCTCTGGCACAGGAAAACACTATAAACTTCTTGCAACAAGAGAATACCATCAATACTAGCAGGGACATGCTTATGTCTACATTTAGGTGAACTAGCAAAATCTTTCATCTGATATGTACTAAATTCTTGACCATTACGAGGAAAAAAATTATATCTGAAGTGGCATATTCTAAACCTGATGAATTTCCCACAAATCAAAAAAAAAAAAAAACAAATTTCTCACAAGTTAAAAAAAGGAGCCTATATTTCAAACTATTACTTGTATTGTAGGCTTCTGAACAATTTTATTATACTCTTCAGTGTTTTCCAGGTTTGTTAAAATAAGCACTTTAAAAACAGGAAAAAATAAGTTTGAAAAGATAAATTCTAGCACTCTATTCCTACAAGATAAAGAAGTCAGATTACTCTTTTATATCCAATGGAATACATGAATTAGACTTATAAGATGGTTGGAAACACACCACACCACATTTAATACACATTCCAGAATAAACTTCAAATAAAAATATGAGCTGTTGACCAATAGCAGTATTATAAATTTAAAATGGGGAGCTTTTTTTAAATCACATATTAAAAAAGAAGAATTGGGAACCATGTGGAAGCAAAGAGCAATTTAATATACATACACAAGTTTAGGGATTTTTTTTTTAAAGAGAAATTGAGAGTCAGGCATTAAAGGTATACAAAATTTGTGTCTCAATATATTACCAATTAAATATTGAAATGTAAAATTGAAAGCACAACACCTACACTAAAACCAAAAAATTAAATAAATTCTTCATATAAAATCTAACAAAATATGTATAAGATCTATTATGAAGAAAACTACAAAACTCTGATCAAAGGTATCAAAAAAGAACTAAATAAACTGAGAGATATTCCATGTTCATGGATAGTAAGACTCAATACTATCAAAATATTACTTCTTCCCAATTTAATTTTTAGATTCAACATAATCCCAATCAAAATCCCACAAAGTTATTTTGTGGATATTCACAAACTGATTCTAAAGTTTATATGGAGAGGCAAAAGATCTAGAATAGGAAACACAATATTGAAGAAAGAGTCAGAATGCTGACACTACCCAACCCCAAGGCTTACTATATAGCTACATGAGTCAAGGTACTGTGGTATTTGCAAACATACAACTTAGATCAATGGAACAGAAGAGAGAGGCCAGAAATTGACCCACATAAGTACAGTCAACTGTTCTTTGACAAAGAAGTAAAGGCAATACAATAGAGCAAAAGTCTTTTCAACAAATAGTCCAATAACTGAACATCCACATGAAAAAAAATCTAGACACTGACATTAAATTCACAAAATTTAACTCAAAATAAATCATAGACCTAAATGTACAATGCAAAACTGTAAAACTTTTAGAAGATAAATAGGAGAACATCTAGTTGATCTTGGGTTTGGCAATAAGGTCTTAGATATAACACCACAAGCCAGATTTATGAAAGAAATAATTGACGTTAGAGTTTATTAAAATTAAAACTTCCATATTTGTGAAAGACAAATCACAGACTAGAAGAAAATATTTGCTAAACACATTTCTGATATTCGACCGTCATCCAAAATACACCAAAAACTATTAAAACTCAAGAAGAAAAACAACTTGATTAAAATGTGAGCAAAAGATCTGAACAGACATCTCACCAAAGAAATGCAGATGAAAAACCTGCATAGAAAATGATCAACATAATATGCCATTAGAGAATTGCAAATTAAAACAATGAGATATCACTAAACATCTATTGGAACGGCTAAAACTCAAAATACTGGCAACAACAATTGCCGTCAAGGATGTGGAGAAATACAAACTCTCACTCATTGCTGGTGGGAATGCAAAATGCTATTTGGCACTTTCTTAAAAAATTAAACATACACTTACCATATGATCTAGCAATCATACTCATTGGTATTTCATTGAAAATTATGTTCCACAAAATCCTACACATAAATGTTTATAGCAGCCCAATTTATAATTGCAAAAAAATTGGAGGCAACGACGATGTCTTTAAGTAGGTGAATGCATGAACAAATTTCTACATCCATACAATGGAAGATTATTCAGCACTAAAGAGAAGTGAGCTATTAATCATGAAACTATACAGGGAAACCTTAAGTGCATACTGCTAAATGAAATAAACCAGTCTAAACAGCTATATCCCGTATGATTCCAACTATATGACATTCTGGAAATGGCAAAACTATAGATACCGTAAAAAAGATGCCAGGGTTTGGAAATGGGGAGGGATAAACAGGTAGAGTACAGAGGATTTCTATGGCAGTGAAAGTAATTTGTATGATATTATGATGGTGGGCACATAACATCATGCATTTGTCAAAATCCATTAAATGTACACCCAGTGAACCCTAATGTACTATAGTTATAATAATGCATCAATATTGGTTCATTAGTTGTAACAAATGTACCACCATAGTTAATAATGGGGAAAAGTGGGGAGGAGAAGGGTGAATGGGCATACAGGAACTCTACTTTCTCCCCAGGTTTTTTTTTTGTTTGTTTTTTGTTTGTTTGTTTTTTGTAAACTTAAAACTGCTACAATAATTAAAGGCTATTGTTTTAGTTAAATCCATTTATTTCTAAAATTTAAAACAGGAAACATAAAACAACTAAGTTTAAGAAGCTGAGTGTGGTGATATGAGCCTATAATCCCAGCAACTTGGGAGGCTGAGGTGGGAAAATTGCTTGAGCTCAGAAGTTTAAGGTTAGCCTGGGAAACATAGTGAGCACGCCCCTACTAAAAAACAAAACAAAACAAAACAACAACAAAAACACTAAGTTTAACAAATATTATGTTTGCAAGTGTCAGGTGACAGGCATGTTTCATTTTTTTCAATATTACCTGTCTAGTGAAATCAAAGATAAATATGTAGCTGAATTTTACTTACTGTGAACAATCAGGTGGTTTGAATTTCTCTTTTCAGCAGTAGAAACAAACGTTTTGGAAATCAATATGGATTTTTAAAAACTCCAAAAAACATTAATTTGTATTTATTAATATTATGTCTTCATTATTATATTGTCAGAACAAAAGGATTCAGGTTATTTATAAAATTTTTAAAATGTGTGTTTTTATCTAGGAATATAGTCATTTTAAAATTAATGCTACTGTCAGGATGAAGGCAGGGAGCTCTGATACTTTTCAAACCACCTATTCTAGCACTTGAGATCTCTGCAGAATTTGGGCCTATACTGTCATGAGAACTTGGGATTTCAATAGATCTGCTCGTGGTTTCAATCTCTAGTTGGTCTGCAAAGAAATTAACTCTGTGCTACTGCCCAAAACTATCCCCCAACTTTCAAGGTTTCCTGCCTTGAAAACATGCACATTTTGTCCTCAAAAGAGTACAGAAAGGTACCTATAAAACCTGCACTGCTATGGTCTAAAATGACCAAAAAGATGCCTTGCCTATAATCTCCGTATATGCAAGACTGAACATTACATTACATGGAAGTATTCTGTAACCAAGAGTCTTTGCCTTTAAAACAAAATATTTTTTTTTCCTTAGAGGATAGCTATTTGGGGACTTAGCAAAACTGGACAACTCTCAGAAACAAGTTTTTCTTCAGTAGAACACACACTAGGGTTTGTGCCTCTTTTCTTTGTTCAGTTTTATACATGTATAAAGGAAAGACAAAAAACAAGAGGGTCTTTCATTTTTCCACAGTTCCCTTTCTTGGGTGCCATTCCTCTCATTGTTCATAGATGAATATTCAGCGTATTCTTCTCACACAGAACACTTGGCCAGTTTTTTCTTTTGCTCTATATTAAAGGGCATAATATTTCTTTAACTGAGGAAGACATATTTATAATATAATTTTGGATTAAGATTTTTATTTACAAATCATTTCATAGAAAGTTTCTCTAAATTTTTAGCAAGAGATATTTGGCTATAATTGGTCAGATTTATCTGTCTTCATTTCAAGGATCTCTATGGTACTGAAATTTCTGTTTAAAGAATTTTAAGTAAGTTCATTTATATACAGTTCATGCAACTTATTTACTTATCCCCCTTCAACATGCCAGCCATTTCTTTCCAAATGTTAAACAGAGTTACTAAAAGTTATGTGTGTGTATGAGTGTGTGTATGTGTGTGTGTGGGCCTGTTTATGAAGGAGAAGCAGAGACAGAGGGAAAGTGGGTAGTCATTGTATTCAAGCCAACAACCCCATTTCAAAGGAGAGGGATTCTTACCCTGAAAATTTGTTTTCAATTCTTCACTTTTAAATTAATACATTTAGAAAAGGTTTAATAGAATGTGGCTGAACCTCAATTAAATAAAAATTTCCACCTCTTGATTTTATTTTTTTGTTGTAATTAATTGGTCATTGGGTTTATCTGTATACATTTTATCTGTATTTGTATTTATTGTATGTGTATTTGTATTTATTTGTATAAATTTATCTGTATAAATTTTTAATGACCCCAAATATATCATGAAAACATTTAAATGTTTTCCTTTATCTAGGAAATTATACACATGTTTGAAAACCAAACAGTTTATATCTGACTAGATGTTTAGTTGCTATTACTATTTTGAACTTGGAATGGACATTATTTTAAAATAAGTTATTTGTAAAGAACTGAGATTTACTGCATCCTACCTTATGTCAGGTACTCATGTCTTGTCTCAAATCATGTTCTGAACATCTCTTTGCATTAATATAATTAATCCCAGTTTACAGAAGACAAAATTAAGAACCAAAGAGAGAGAGTAGGTAACAATCAAGGTGATTCAGGACTTAACTGACAAATCTATCAACTTCTCTCTACCTCTACTGCTGCCTTCTTAGTTGAGGTCACTGTGATTTCCATCCTGGACCACTGAACCACTGTATTCACCTTCTAACTGGATTCCTCACTAACTGCCTTGATAATTCCAATCCATTCTGCACCAGAAGCAGGTTTATTATGGGACTGTGTCATACTTCCCTGGCTTCCCATTTCATTTAGGGCAAAATTCTATGAGGTCTGTCTCTCCATTTCTCTTTAACTTCATTTCAATCTACTCTCTTTTTAGCTCACAGCATTCTACCCACGTTAATGTCCTTTTTGTTCCTAGACATTGCCAAATGTTTTTTTTTTCTTTTTTCTTTTTTGTTATTGCTTTCTGATCTACTATAAAATGCTTTTCTTCTATGGAGGCTTCAAACATCCTATTCCTTGCCCTGGATTTCTGCATCACTGGATCCTTCTTATCATTTGAGTCTCAACAGAAACACCACCTCTTAAAATGGTCACCCTCTGATTCTTGCCCAGACCTTTGTTAGTTACTGTCAGAAAAAAATAACTTCTTTATGTACAATGAACTAGTTTGCTTGTTTGTTTGTTTGTTTATCATCTATTCCTCCACTCCCTCTCCATTCCCCCTCCATAGTAGGACAGGAATATTCTATTTTATTTACTACCCTCATATAGTTTCTAGCACTTCGGGTACTGAATAAATATTTGCTGGATGAATGAAGTCTTTGTTTTCTCCACTCTAAAATGTGCTCATATTAATTAAATATAGTCATAAAATTTATCCAGTTGGATATATATATATATATATATAACCATTTGTCCTTAGTAAAGCTTGAAATATGTGAAATCATGGCACTTCTTTTTTTTCCCCTGAATATTATTTCTTGGTCAGAACATTATCTTCCTCCTTGGCAAAAATATATTGTGCCTTTATGTTTTAGCAAAGTATCTCAAAGAATCATATAACCGTAGCAAAATGGAGCTGAAGGGCACCTTAGAGCCCACCTACCCCTATCATGCACCTGGCACCTGAGCCTCTTCTACAGCATCAAGTGGCCACTGAGACATACCAGGCTGGAGGAACTAAGTACCTTTTAAGGCAACACATCTAATTCTTAGTGTTTTAATAGCCTAATATTTGTTTAGCGTTTTGGTACTAATACATTCCAAGTTTCTGCTGTCTACTGACTTTTCACTATTTGTTCCCTTAGATATTCATTTGAAATCTTTTTAGTTTAACCTGATTTAGCTGTTTCTTTTTATTAAAAAAAACTCGAGGTAACTTCTTTTCTGATTTAATGTAGCAATACCAGAAAATCCCTTTTGAGTTTAGTCTTTCAGATTGTTAGTAAACTTAATGATGAGAATAGGAGTATTTGTTATTTTTCTGCAAAATAGTTCTATCTATATTTCTTTCTACTTCTCATTGTGCAAAGTCTGTTCTTTCATTAAGACACTGTAATTACATTATAGTCAGTATGTTTTAAGTAAAATTCTGAGATTCCTTTACTTTTTCTTGAGTCGTCTAAAAAAATATGTTTTGATAAAATCAAGTGAAATATCCTTTATGACTTCAACTTCTTCTGGAAATACTTGTCCTCTATATATTTTATCACTTAATTTGCCAATTATGTCTACTCCTTTTGAATAAGGAGGAAATACCATTTTCTGAAATAAAAAAAAGAGAAAGAGAAAAAACAGAAATTAGAGAATATTTTAAACAATGTGTTTTATGTGTTTTTTAAATGTCATCAAACTCATTCTTCAGGACTTTACTCATAATAAGCTGTTCAATGAATACTTATTTAACAATCGCTCTGTGTTCTATTACTTATCCCTTTTTCTCACTTATATGCTCAACTTTTTATTCTTTATAAGTTCTTTCTTCTTAGCATATAAACATGCATGATTATCTCCCATCAAATATACATAAAAATAAGCATACAATAGAAAAGAAAGAAAATCCTTTTTTGAAGATTTGCTCTGTTACCACTTTCTTCTCTATTATTTCTAGTCAAATCTTTGAAGAGAGTTTTTACTTCTTTACCCCTCATCCTGTTTACAGTCCACTGAAAACTGACTTCTGCCCTTATAACATAATTTAATTATTCCCACCAAGATCGCAAATCACAAGACGGTCAAATCCAATTGAATATATTTTGACTTGACCTTACTTTATATCTCAGATGTTTTGACATTCTTGACAACTCCTTTCTTTCAAAAACACTGTCCTCTCACTGGCTTCATACTTTTTGGCTCTTCTCCTGCCCTTTTCTCTTCCTTTGCAGGCTCTTCTGCTTCTTCTTGACCCTATATATGGGTTCTTCTTCTGCTTTCCAACAGTCTCTTGCTCTCACATCATCCTTTTCCTTGAGTGATTATATTCACATCTTCAACTTCAAACATCACCTTTATTTTGATGACTCTCAAGTCTGTAGCTCCTGCCCTTATCACAGCTCTTCTATATCTCTCCAGTTGTATACATACTGCTGACTATGGAATATCTTTAGCTGAATGCCCCATAGATACTTCAACTTATGACATATCAAACTGCAGTTTTTAAATCTTCACTCCAAAATGATATTTTTCTGTTATTCCCGTCTCTTTTAATGGCACTGTCATCCACCAAGGGGATTTGGAAGAACCTTGAGTTCAAGCCCTTTCCTTTGTTTCCCTACAGTTGCCCTGTAATCTGTATGCTGAGGGTTAAAGGCAGGGCTAGGAGAAAATATGTTTCTATTAGATGAGATGTATCATCAATATTCAACTGGTATTAGAAAAATAACCATAAAAATGCTCCTGATAATAAGCAGCTAAAACATAAAGAACATCTTTTTGTAAGTAATCGTGAACAATGTTTGAGAGATAGAAGGATCATTCAATAATCTAAAAATTCTAAACATAATTTTACATATGAAAAAACAGTCCTAGAGAGGAAAGATAAATGTCTAATATAAAAGTAACTTAATGAAAAAGTGTGGACTAAAATCTAGATCCACTTCTGTAAGTTTTGTATTTCCTTGGTATTAGAAGTAACTTACTCCTCCCTGTCCCTGATCTATGTAATGGCAAACATTTTTTCTTGGTAGGAGATAAATCAGGTCATTACAAGCATAGAAAGCAAGATTTAAACAAAGTATATCTGTAATACAAATTTCTGCTAGTAGAATGTACCTACATTTTAAAAAGTGAGAGTTCTTTCTCAGCTGCTTTCTAAGTAATTTACACTATTTATGCTCCCACCAATCCTGTATATTTCCTATATGCTCACAAACCATGAATATTATCTAATTTGTAAAACCTTGTCAATCTGATAAGGAAACTTAGTATGTGTGTATGTAAGATTGAATATTTTTATACGTTATTGGACACATATTTTTATGAATTATGTTTTTAGATCCTTTGAACATTATCTACTGGGTTATTTATATTTCTTGTTCTTGAATTTTCTTCTGTTTCTTGGATAATGTTTTCTTCTGGAATGTATTCTTCAAATTTTTTTAATGCTATATATTTTTGTTCTGTATTATTTTTACAGTTATGTCATCTCATTTGAATGTACAATCACTATATAGCCCTTAATCTATATGGTTAAAAATTGTGTGAGTAAAAACTCTTTGCCACTCTCCCCACCCCATCTGAATTCAGATTGACTTATCCTGTAAGCTTTTATTCCAGGACTAAAATTTTGCTTTAACAAAGCCAATAAGCCCAGGTGCTTAGTTTCTCCTACATACCTATTCTCCCAACAATGCTTTCTCATCCCCTTTCAGGCAGTGAGAATAAATCCAGTAAAATAATTACGTTCTATCACATTATTAGTCCAGAGCTGGCAAGTAGAGGTTACATATGTGCATGTTCATGTGCCTCTACACCAGCTTCCTCTTCCTGAGATGACTAGGTATTTACTGTGATTTGAATGTATCCCTCAAAGTTCATGTGTTGGAAACTCAATCTCCAATGCAACAGTGTTGAAAGGTGGGACTTTTGAGAGATGATTAGGTCATGAGGGCTCCACACTCTTGAATGGATTAATGTTATCACAGCAGTAGCTTTGTTATAAAAGCAAGTTTGGCTCTTTCTTGCTCCCCATTTGATGAGCTCTTTCACCATGTGATGCCTTCTACCACGTTGGGATACAGAAAAAAGGCCCTCACTAGATGCCCAACACCCTTTTATAGGGCTTCACAGCCTCGAGAACAGTGAGCAATAAATTTTTCTTTATACATTACCCAGTCTGTGGTATTCTGTTATGGCAACACAAAATAAACTAAGACAGTATTATGTATTTTTTCTTTTGTTTTACATTTTACTAAGTGCCGACTTATTCGAAAAGGTAATTAGCTTTGGTTAATTATCAAAGTTTTGTCTTTCCTTTCCTACTTTTGTCCCACTAAGCAAAAAACAAAACAATGAGCATTGACCTTTACCTTTCTCTGGTAAGGGAGTATGGAAGGTTTTCTACTACTTTGTAAAAATACTGCTACAGATGGTACTTCTGGACCCATGTGGAACCTGGGGGTCCTTGCTGTCCTGAAGAGAAGTACACAGGCCTGGCTGGCTTTTCCACTTACTGATTGTAGAATCTCAGGCATTGAGCAAATATAGGCAGTAGCCAGGGAGCAGTTACATCAGGCCTTAGGTGAAACCCACTGCTGTGCTGGCTTCAGGTCTGACCCAACACAGTCATAGTGGTGATGGCCACAAGGGAGCTTGGGTTACTCCACCCTGCAAAGGAGCTTGGGTCACTCTGAGCTTTGCATAGCTTAGAGCAGAGAAAGAAGGACTCTGTATTCTTGGGAGAAAACAAGGAAAGAGAACAAGAGTCTCTGCCTGGTAATCAAGAGAATTCTCCCAGATCTTAGCCAAGACCATAAAGCTTATACCTCTATAAATCAGCAAGAACCACAGTGTTATTAGGCTTGGGATGCCCCTAAAGTAGATATTTCTTAGATCACAACATTCAGGTCTTTTCAAATATCTGGAACATCTTTCCAAGAAGGGCGGCTACAAATAAACCCAGAAGGTGAAGACTACAATAAACACATAACTCTTCAATGCCTGGACAAACATCTATAAGCATCAACACCATCCAGGGAAATGACATGACATCCCCGTATGAACTAAATAAGGCACCAGGGACCAATGCTGGAGAAGCAGAGATATGTGTGACCTTTCAGACAGAGAATTCAAAATACCTGTGTTGAGGAAACTCAATTAATTTCAAGATAACACAGAGAAGGAATTCAGAATTTTATCAGATAAATTTAACAAAGAGAATAAAGTAATTAAAAAGAGGCAGGCAGAAATTCTGGAGCTTTAACATACAATTGGCCTACTAAAGAATGTCTCAGAGTCCTTTAACAGCAGAATGGATCAAGCGGAAGAAAGAATCAGTGAGCTTGAAGACAGGCTATTTGAAAATATACAATCAGATGAGACAAAAGAAAAAAGAATAAAAAACAATGAAGCACACCTACAGGATCTAAAAAATAGCTTCAAACAGGAAACCTGATTATTGGCCTTAAAGAGGAGGAAGAGAAAGAGACAGGGGTAGAAAGTTTATCCGAAGGAATAATAACAGAGAACTTCCCAACCCTAGAGAAATATATCAATATTCCAAGTACGAGAAGGTTATAGAATGCCAAGCAGATTTAACCCAAAGAAGACTACCTCAGGGCATTTAATAATCAAACTCCCAAAGATCAAGGATAAAAAAGGATCCTAAAAGCACCAAAAGAAATGTAACAAATAACATACAATGGATCTCCAACACATCTGGCAGCAGACTTTTCACTGGAAACTTTATAGGCCAGCAGAGAGTGGCAGGTAATATTTAAAGTACTGAAGGAAAAAATCTTTTACCCTAGAATAGCATATCTGGTGAAAATATCCTTCAAACATGAAGGAGAAATGAAGACTTTCCCAGACAAACAAAAGCTGAGGGATTTCATCAACACCAGACCTGTTCTACAAGAAATGCTAAAGGGAGTACTTCAATCAAATAAAAAAGGATGTTAATGAGCAATAAAAAAATCATCTAACAGTACAAAACTCACTGGTAATAGTAAATACACAGAACAACACAGAACATTTTAATACTGTAACTGCAGTGTATAAACTGCTATCTCTTAAGTACAAAGAGTAAATGATGAACCGATAAAAAAAATAAATACAACTTTTTGAGACATAGTACAGTAAGATACAAGTACAAATAATAAAAAGTTTAAAAGCTAGTGGACAAGGTTAATGTGTAGAGTTTTTCTTAGTTTTCTATTTGCCTGTTTGTTTGTTCATGCAAACAGTGTTAAGTTGTTGTCACCTTAAAATAATTGCTTATAAGATAGTAGATGCAAGCTTTGTGGTAACTTAAACTTTAAAAAAATACAATGGATACACAAAAAGTAAAAAGCAAGAAATTAATCATATCACCAGAGAAAATCATCTTCACGAAAAGAAAAGAGGAAGAAAGGAAAGAAGGAAGAGAAGACCACAAAACAACCAGGAAACAAAAAACAAAATGGCGGGAGTAAGTTCTTACTTATCAAGAATACATTGAATGTAAATGAACTAAACTCTCCAATCAAAAGACACAAAGTGGATGAATGAACAAACAAACAAAAAAGATCCAATGATCTGTTGCCTATAAGAACACACAATACCTATAAAGACACATACAGACTGAAAATAAAAGGATGGGAAAAGATATTCCATGCCAATGGAAACTAAAAAAGAGCAGGAGTTGCTACACTTAGACCAGGCAAAATAGATTCCAAGGATGAAAACTATAAGAAGAGACAAAGAAGGTCACCACATAATGATAAAGGGGTTGATTGAGCACAAGGATATAACAATTGTAATATAGGTACCCAACACTAGAGTATCCAGATTTACAAAGCAAACATTTTTATAGCTAAAGATAGAGATAGACCCCAATACTATAATAGTTGGAGACTTTAACACCCCACTTTCAGCATTGGACAGATCTTCCAGACAGAAAATCCATAAAGAAACTTCAGATTTAATCTGTGCTATAGACCAAATGGATCTAATAGATATTTACAGAACATTTCATCCAACAGCTGCAGAATAAACATTCTTTTCCTCAGCACATAGTTCATACTCAAGGATAGACCATACGTCGGGTCACAAAACAAGTCTTAAGACATTCAAAAAATTGAAATATTATCAAGCACCTTTTCTGACCACAATGGAATAAAGCCAGAAATGAATACCAAGAGGAATTCTGGAAACTATACAAACACATGGAAATTAAACAATATGTTCCAGAATGACAAGTGGTAAATGAGTAAATTAAGAAGGAAACTTAAAGATTTATTGGAACAAATGATAGTAAAAACACAACATGCCAAAATCTATGGGATACAGCAAAAGCAGTACTAAGAGGGAAGTTTATAGCTTTAAGTACTTACATGAAAAAATAGAAAAACTTCAAATAAACAACCCAGTGATGCATATTAAAGAACTTCAAAAGCAAGAGCAAATCAAACACAAAATTAGTGGAAGAAAATAAATAATAAAGATTAGAGATAAATGAGTAGAAAATGAAGAAAATAATACAAAAGATCGCTAAACAAAAAGTTGTTTTTTAAAAAAAGGTAAACAAAATTGACAAACTTTTAGACCCAAATAAGTAAAATCAGAGATGTAAAAGGAGACATCACAACTGATACCGCAGAATTTAAAGGATCGTTAGTGGCTGCTATAAATAGCTATATAGAAAGAAATAGAAAAATTTGGAAGAAATGGATAAATTGCTAGACACATGCAAGCTACTAAAATTGAACCAGGAACATATCCAAAACCTGAGCAGACCAATAACAAGTAATGAGATCAAAACCATAATAGGAAGTCTCTTAGCAAATAAAAGCCCACTACCTGATGGCTTCCCTGCTGAATTTTACCAAACCTTTAAAGAACACCCAATCCTACTCAAATACTCTGAAAAACAGAGGAGGAGGAAATACATTCTAACTCATTCTATATTTGACAGTATTACCCTAATGTTCAAATCAGAAAAAGGCACAACAAAGACACATTTCGGATCAAATGGCTTTGATCCAAAAGACAGTAACAAATGCTGGCAAGGACATGGAGAAAAGGGAACCCTTGTACACTATTGGTGGAAATGTATATTAGTACAACCACTATGGAGAACAGTTTGGAAGTTCCTCAAAAAACTAAAAACATCTACCATAAGATCCAGCAATCCCTATATGTGTGTGTGTGTGTGTGTGTGTGTACACTAAAAAGAAAGGAAATGAGTATATTGAAGATATATCTGCACTCCTATGTTTATTGCAGTGATATTTATAATAGCAACCTAAGTATCCATCAACAGATGGATAAAGAAAATGCAGTATTTAAACAGAATGCAGTACTATTCAGCCATAAACAGAATGAGATCCTGTCATTTAAAACAACATTGATAAACTGGAAATTATTAGGTTAAGTGAAATAAGCTAGGCACAGAAAGACAAACTTGATATGTTTGAACTTATTTGTGGAAGCTAAAATTAAAATAATTGAACCATAGAGATAAAGAGAAGGATGGCTATCAGAGGTTGGGAAAGATAGTTGTTTGGGGTAGGGGGAGAAGTGGGGATGGTTAATGGGTTAAAAATAGTTAGAAAGATTAAATAATACCTAGTATTTGCTAGCACAATGGAATGGCTATAGTCAAAAATAATTTAATTGTACATTTTAAAAAAACTAAAAGTGTACAATTGGATTGTTTGTACTACAAAGGATAAATGCTTGAAGTGGTGGATACTCGATACTCCATTTACTCTTATGTGATTATTACTCATTGCATGCCTCTATCAAAATACCTCATGTACCCCATAAATATATATACCTACTAAGTATCCACAAAAATTAAAAATAAAAATAATAAATAAATATTTTTATTGAGTTTTTTTCTGTGAATTATACAATCTCCTAGGCTCTTAGTCTGCTAGGAGATGTAGCGATGAACCAAAAAGTGCTCTTATGGATCTTAGGGTATACTAGTTAACGTAGAAGGGTTGCTCTAAATTTCAAAGTGTCTGTTTATCAAAGCATCTATGATTATCGGTGTCTTTTTTGTTTTTTGTTTCCTTATTGTTTGTTTTTCATTTGAGTACTTTTCTCATTAAAACACTAGCTTAAGCAACATGTCAAGGAGAAAGACAAGACAATACAAAAGACAACAAAACAAGCTCTTCACTGCATTGCCTCACCCATAAACTTATAAAGTGGCTGTCACTTTATAAAAGGCTAAGAAAAGCTATTTCGCTGAAAACCTTATTGACTGTTTTAATGACATCACATTTGTAGTTCTGTTATGAGGAAATAAATCATGGAAGGAGTGAGGAGAAGTTTAGCAATAGTTGTGGTCTTACTTGCTGTGTGGTGGGTCTCAGATGCCCTATATGCTATGCAAGTAGAAATCATTGCTTATCATTTTAATGTAAGTTTGATTGGAATGTGACTAATTACATAATAGTTATACAAAAAAACATATTCTAGATCAGCTAATTAAGCAATATAAAATATGTTTTGTGCACAAATAAAGAAACATATTGTTTCATTCCTATAAGATACATAAATAAAGTTATTTTGGACTGATAAATATTTTTTTCAACTTTCAAAAGTTCCAGGGTACATGTGCAGGATGTGCAAGTTTGTTACGTGGGTAAATGTGTGCCATGGTGGTTTGCTGCACAGATCAACCCATCACCTAGGTATTAAACCCAGCATCCATTAACTATTCTTCCTGATGCTCTCACTTCCCCCAACCCAAACCCCTGAGAGGCCCCAGTATGTGTTGTCCCCCTCCCCATGTGTCCATGTGTTCTCATTGTTCAGCTCCCACTTATAAGTGAGAATATGTGTTGTTTGGTTCTCTGTTCCTCTATCAGTTTGCTGAGGATAATGGCTTCCAGCTCCATCCATGTCCCTGAAAAGGACATGATCTCATTTCTTTTTATGGCTGCATAGTATTCCATGATATATATTTACTACATTTTCTTTATCCAGTTTATCACTGATGGGCTTTTGGGTTGATTCCATGTCTCTGTTATTGTGAATACTGCTGCAATTGGCATAAACGTGCATGTATCTTTATAATAAAATGATTTATATTCCTTTGGGTATATACCCAGTAATGGGATTGCT
The DNA here is from genome assembly GCF_000001405.40 of Homo sapiens. Classification (NCBI taxonomy): domain Eukaryota; kingdom Metazoa; phylum Chordata; class Mammalia; order Primates; family Hominidae; genus Homo; species Homo sapiens. The sequence continues at coordinate 115,015,850 of NC_000003.12, forward strand.
GGGTCAAATGGTATTTCTGCCTCTAGATCTCTGAAGAATCTCCACACTGTCTTCCACAATGGTTGAACTAATTTACACTCCCCCCAACAGTGCAAAAGCATTCCTTTTTCTCCGCAACCTCACCAGCATCTGTTGTTTCTGGACTGTTTAATAATTGCCATTCTGACTGGCATGAGATGGTATCTCACTGTGGTTCTGATTTGCATTTCTCTAATGATCATTGATGTTGAGCTTTTTTCACGTTTGTTGGCTGCATAAATGTCTTCCTTGAGAAGTGTCTGTTCATGTGCTCTGCCCACTTTTTAATGGGATTGTTTGTTTTTTCTTGTAAATTTGTTTAAGTTCCTTGTAGACTCTGGATATTAGACCTTTGTCAGATGGGTAGAATGCAAAAATTTTCTCTCATTCTGTAGGTTGTCTGTTCACTCTGATGATAGTTTCTTTTGCTGAGCAGAAGCTCTTTAGTTTAATTAGATCCCATTTGTCATTTTGCTTTTGTTGCAATTGCTTTTAGCGTTTTTGTCATGAAATCCTTCCCCATGGCTACATCCTGACTGGTATTGTCAGATTTTCTTCTAGGGTTTTTATAGTTTGGGGTTTTACATTTAAGTCCTTAATCCATCTTGGGTTAATTTTTGTATAAGGTGTAAAGAAGGGGTTCAGTTTCAATTTTCTGCATATGGCTAGCCAGTTCTCCCAGTACCATTTATTAGAGGGAATCCTTTCCCCATTGCTTGTTTTTGTCAGGTTTGTCGAAGATCAGATGGTTGTAGGCATGTGGTCTCATTTCTGAGTTCTCTATTCTGTTCCATGGGTCTATGTGTCTGTTTTTGTACCAGTGCCATGCTGTTTTGGTTACTGTAGCCTTGTAGTGTAGTTTGAAGTCCAGTAGTATGATGCCTGCAGCTTTGTTATTTTTGCTTAGGATTGTCTTTGCTTTTTGGGTGCTTTTTGGGTTCCATATGAATTTTAAAATTCAACATCCCTTCACGTTAAAAACTCTCAATAAACTAGGTATTGAAAGAACATACCTCAAAATAGTAAGAGCCATATATGACAAACCCACAGCCAATATCATACAGAATGGACAAAAGCTGGGAGCATTCCCCTTTAAAACCAGCACAAGACAAGGATGCCCTCTCTCACCACTCCTACTCAACATAGTATTGGAAGTTCTGGCCAGGGCAATCAAGCAAGAGAAAGAAATAAACATATTCAAATAGGGAGAGAGGAAGTTAAATTATCTTTGTTTGCAGATAACAGGATCCTATGTCTAGAAAAGCACATCATCTCAGCCCAAAACCTTCTTAAGCTGATAAGCAACTTCAGCAGTCTCAGGATACATAATCAATGTGCAAAAGTCGCTAGCGTTCCTATACACCAACAACAGGCAAGCAGAAAGCCAAATCATGAATGAACTCCCATTCACAACTGCTACAAAAACAATGAGATACCTAGGAATACAGCTGACAAGGGAAGTGAAGGACCTCTTCAAGGACAGCTACAAACCACTCCTCATGGAAAACTAGAAAGGACACAAACAAAAGGAAAAACATTCCATGTTCATGGATAGAAAGAATTCATATCACAAAAATGACCATAGTGCCCAAAGTAATTTATAGATTCAATGCTATTTCCATTAAACTATCATTGGTAAATCTTTTTAAGAAAAATTTATAGTATAAATTAATAGTTTAAAGATGGCAATTTTTATTTAGATAGATCAAAAAAAATGCTGTCACAGAGAGATGTGAATTGAACTACCTATTGAGGAAGTATGTTATCATTAATGCTTTCTCACAATTTCTTTCATATTAAGGATTTTAAAAAGTTAAATTATATACAATTTCATTTGTATCATCACTATAGTTTCTTTATCAAATATGTGTTGAGTAAATGCTGTGTTTCAGACATTGTGCTGGAATTGGAGATATAATGGTAATGAAATGAAGGATGCCTCATGGATCTTACAGTCTAATTGAGGTAGAAATACAAATACACATACATATATACAACACATATGCACATACTAAATAATCACACAAATATATGAATATTTACTTTCAGATAATGTTACTAAATTGTGGTTATTTCTGTGCTGGCAAGAAACACCCAGTTTCTTGAAATTTACTTTTCAATGACTTCTTCCAAATTTAATCCTGTTTATGCCTAAGGATTTTTGTTGTTGTTTTTTTAATCTCTTAAAGTTGCACATTGAATCACTGCTGATTTGTATGCATGAAGTTACCAGGACTTCTAATTTTGTACCAAGTTTATATGTGCTAATATTTTCCATTAGTAAAGAAGACTGAAAGATGCCTCAGTTGCCTGGAATTTATGCCACCAAGGAAAAACAGTGATTAGTGTGTTTAAAGAGTTAGATCATTGGGTTAATCATGCTTTGCCATAGTATCATTGCTATCCTTTAAATAAAAAAAAAAGGTTTAGTTAGAAAATTTTTTAACAAGATAAAATTAACCACAGACTATAACGAAAAGTAATTTCAGCAGGATTATTTATTCTCCCAAAGTTGAAAAAACAACAAACCAAAAAAGGTGTATATGTGACATCTACTTAATTTTTTAAATATGATTATTTCCATCTTTTGTTCTTTGATCTCCACATGAGCAGAGACACATAAAGTGGCAATGGGGCCAAGGGTGCTAGATGGCTTGGCATTCATTAACTATGGCAATTAGCACCATTTAGATTGATATGTTCCCAAGATGAAAGTAAGAATTGGACTAGACAAAAAAAATGATGATCGCATTTGTGAAAGTGGAACAACACTGACCAACAAGAAACAAAGAAACAGAGCTCACCTTAAAAGACTTGGAATATTTGAAAAATTGATTATGAGATAAGATAATTTCAACATAACTACAATTCCTTGAAGAGTTATTAATGCTTCGGTAGCATTAAAGTAAAATGAAAAGACACCAGGGCAGTCTGCTTTAATAGCTTGCTGGCTTGAACCCTAATACATAATGTTCTTGTAATAGTTTATGGGTGACTGCAGTAAATTGGTAGTGAATGTTTTTCATTTTTTTGGCTCTTCATATCAGATCTGCTCTTGGAGAACATTTTGTTCTGAGAATATTATGAAGGCAGTTCATCTACTTTAGAAGTTGCTTGACAATTTTAATACAGTGTTAACTTTTCTCCCCTCCAGATTGTGTGATTTTTTTGTCCTTTGTACCCGACATCAATTTATGGTTTGAAATTCAGCAATTTGCTCAGTTATACTTTACCTACCCTGACTAAATATTTTAAGTGCTGCCACAAGAAAAGAAAAAATCTAATTTTTCCCAATGTTGTTGTTACCCCTCTCTGTTTATATAGCAGTTTAAATCTGCCCTTCATCTTGACAGAGAAAAAATTTTAGATGGATTAATTTTGAACCTAAATAATTTGTTGACAAATAATTTATGATCATATTCAGGGGTTGTTTTGAGGTAAAAAGAAAACTGCATTGAATGAATTATACCAAGTGAAATCATGGTATTTTAAACAAAATGAGGTTTATAATTACCTGGGATTTAGTGAACAAAAGTATGTGATGCAGGGCTCCCTGAAGAATTTAGTGCATGTCCTATGTTTTAGTGCTTCAAGCAGCAAATATTATGTATATACAATAAAAAAGGAAGTTGCAGACTTAATACATACTGAAATGGTCTCAATGTTAACATTAGACTCATGAAAAATTAGCGGACATCTAAGTACTTTATTCGTTCTTTTAGTCTTTGCTGTACCTAGGAACATTTGTTTCATATAAAAGTTATATTACAAAATTAATGGACTGAGGGTGGAAAGAGAATTTGAAAGAATGTGAAATAAAGTCTGGATATATACTGAATGCAGGTGGAAGATGTCTGAGGAACATTAATGACAATAAAGAGAAGTCTCTTCCTAAGTTACAGACATCCAAAACCAAAATAAGAGCCAATGTGGTTACATAAAACTGCAAAGAAAATCTTGGTTGGACAGAGAACTCCGAAGAGGTAGTAAAAGGAAAAACTGAGCAAACTAGGGAAGACAAATGCAGAGAAAAGTTAGAAATAATTAGAGAAGAAATAAAATGCTTCCACAAAAATAAGAACAACAAAAATTCAGGAGATAAATGCAGAACAGTCCAGCTAACAGAAAAGGATTTTTGAACTGTGTATGCAAGAAGCAGACAGCATGATTGGAAATGAAGTATTTGCTCTTTCCTCTAAGAGTGGAAGAACAAGACATTCCTGGGCAGCACAACTCTGCGTAGGATTAGTTGCACTTCCTCAAATGTATTTTCAAGCAAAAAGCTGAAACCCAAATGTCTTGAGCCACCAGAAGTACCCAGGCTCTTATGTAATACAGGCTTTAGTGTTTTATTGCTTATTCAAAAAGACAAATTATATTTTAAAATTGATATATGTGTGAGCATGGTTATGCTACACCTATAAATTACCAAACGTAATACCAATAGCAGCCAACCAACAGTTTAGCCTCAGTATTTTCACAACAGTTCAAAATGTTTTGTTAAATCCCATGAAAGTAGCTTCAGTGACAAAGGTTTCAGATCTTTGCAAATGATAATTAATTCAGAGGCATATAATGGGAAACACTACAGTCAGGTCTAGACAGGTTTAGATAAACTAATGGCCCAACTAGTTATGGCAGCTACAGTTTTTAACTTCAAGTAAAGGAATCTTAAAGCAGTTCAAGGAAGAAACATTTTCTTTCTTTTCCTTTTTAAAACATTTAATTGTCTTTTTTGAGGATGATAAAAGATAAAATCTAGAGACTTTATTGTACTGTACTCATTATAGTCTCTCCCCTGCCTCATATGTAAATCTAGTTTGCTTCTTCATGTTTATTCATCTCTACTTTAAATAAACATATTGTACATATACTCTATACACACACACATATAATACCTATTCTCTTCCATTTATGCTTACATTGTAAGTCTTTTAAACATTTATTGAAACATTTTTGTTGGATTGACTCTACATTGAATAGCTTTATTATAAATGAAAGACTTCCCTTCTATTAAACAGAAATTTCTTTTAATACCACTATGAGGCAGAACATTATTGCTATGGTATAACTTTGTACGATCGAATGTCCTACTGGTTAGATCTGTGAGTTAATTTAAATTTTTACAGGCTGTTAGATGGAGTAAAAGGCAGGATACAGCCATGGACTGTAGGTTTTTTATCCTTTAGTTACTTCTTTAACTTTTAATTTACATTAATGGACAAGTTTCATCTAGTCTAATTTTATGTATTACTTGAGTCTTTCCTCATATTTTTGGAATGCCATTTTTAATTTAGAGTGTTTTCTAAGTTAAAGTCTTAATTGTTCTTTTCCTGAATAATAGCTTGCATGAATACAAAGAACTTTATGTTTGAATTTTGGATTTAGTCAGCTTGATTTTTCACTGAAATCAGGCCTAAACATATGAAGTTCAGCAGCAAAAACAAAAGCAAGCTTACTTACTGAAAACGCATTGTCTTTCTATAACAAGCTTACTGTAAAGACTGGGGTAGTATGTATATTTCCATAGATACATATATATAGTATCTGTGTGTACACATATACACGTAAAGTTAAGAAAGTTTGTAAAAAAACTACACATACGCAACATTAGAAATACTGTTAAATATTTATGTGTAATGAAGCTGTTCTTTTCAATGATGTCCTACATTGTAAAGGTTTTATTTAAAAATTTTTATATAATGAATGCAAACTTGAGTCACTGTTCAAACATGAATATTTTCTCAAATGAACATATTTGCATGTGTTATGCTATATAAACTGAGTTCTGTAAAAAGGATCCTTTTTCTTCTGCTACCAAGAAATTCTACTTTTATAATTCAAACAATCTACTCTCTCCCACACTCAAAATAAGTCATCATTACTTAAAATATGTGTAGTGTAACAATGGAAATGTTTGTATATTTGTCAAACTAAATATTATGTTAAAATATTTTATACATTTCCACTGAGAATGCTCTTCTTAGTTAAAAATAAATAAAATTTAAAAAAATTTGAATGGAGACATTTTGAAAGTGGCTATTCCAGGTAGGATAAATATTTAATTTACTCCATAGCATAATAATTTTAGGAATCACTTCATTTTGAAAAATTATTCTGAATACTAGCAACATTTTGGCCTTTAAGACACTTTATTAACAGTTTTGAAGAAAAAGTTGAGACATTTGTTCAAAAGATTTGAATCTATTCACATAATAGTTCAGACAATCTCCATTTTTAAATTCCTAAATTTTGAAAATTTAGGATACGTAAAAAAGATAAATTAAGGAATGATGGTTTACCACATGGAAAAAGTATTATTTATAAAAATTTTAAAAGTATAATTTATTTACAAAATTTAGTTATTTAATAACATATATAAAAAGACTCAAGTTGATATTCTAAAACATACTTTTAAACAAAAGGAACTGTCTATTACATAATGAAAATTTATGCAACCAAAATGAGTATTATTCTTTGCAAAGTAGTTGCCTTGGGAGACAGTTCTTTAAACAGTATAGCTATTGCTCTAAATATTGCACAATGTGCGAACAATGTTGACCTTCAGTGCCAACAACATATCATTTTGAATATTTTCACTGACAACTGCTCTTTAATTTTCGTTGCTTTTTAGAAATAGTCAAGAGTAACTTAGAGCCATGTTTACCTGACAGAGCCAAGTTTATTGCCATAGCAAAACCTGGCCTGTATAGTTATAGAAATCCCTTATCTTCATTTCTTCACCTCCAACTCTACAATCTACTCCAATTTGTTGTCCTTTGCCTCCTCTACTCCCTTCAAACTAATCTTTCTAAGGCTGTAACTATCTGTTTTCAGTCACCAAATGGGCAATCATTTAAAAAATATTATGGAAATGATAAAAGCCATTTATCTTGGGTGGTTTTGTGCAGTTTCTAAAGGCAGTTTCAAAAGAGGTAAGTAACTTTGATAGTGATAGAATCATTGGAATAAATATATTACCTTCACTATGACAAGGATATTTGGATGTTTAACTTTTGGATATCTGATATGTATTTTCCATTCAGTGCAGTATTTATTGAGCACCTATATTATGCAAAACACTGTGCGAGATGCTGAGACAAAATATGAAGATGAAGAAACAATGAGACCAGCCCTGACTCATGAACAAATAGTGAGGTAAGGAGATAACCTTCAATGACTCTACTGTGAGACAGATTTAAGTGTTCTCTTGGAGTTAGAATGCACTATATAAATAGAGAGGGAAGAATTCATTTTAACTGAAGCATGACAGTTAAATTGTGCCTAGAAGGACAGAGATTGAAACCTTAACAGGTAGAAATGGAAGAAAGAACTAGGAAGAGGAAGTAAGTTGTTCAATGTAGAATAGGGTTTCTATCTTTTTTTAAAAAATGGACAGTTTACTTTCTATTCATAGCTTACACAGTAAAACTGTGCTTGTTTCAACTTTGCTGGCACTACACAATATGCCTAGATTCAATTCTGTTGAATCCCATAAACTCTCTTTTTTTGTTTTGTTTTTCATTCCATCTTTCTATGCCTGTGCCCCATGTGTTCTTTCTCAGCTCTCATGTCTGTGTCTTTTTCAGTTCTGCATCACCTTCTTTTCTTCTACATCTGTTTCTCACCTTTCCCTGTCTCTGCTATCCCCTCTCGTAGTCATCTTTCCGTCTTGATTGCCATAAGGAATTGAAATATGCTATACTTCTCTTTGACAAATCCAAACTTGAATAAACTCTTACACTATGGAGTTTTCAACAAATCCTTACTCTTTGTACTTTTTTCCTTTTTTAAATTGTTCCTTCCCTTCACTTAATTCCTTGTAATCTGTCCAAATTTTATATTCTCCTCCCCCACTTTTCTCCCTTTTCTTTCTCTCCTTTTTGATTCTTACACTACACTACTGGTGTACTCAGAGGAAAAAATGATGCTAAAATAAAGAAAATGTTCTTTACAATCAGAATATTATTAACCAGTACTTCCAAGCATAACTAGTTCAATCATAAAAGTTCATTTAAGATTTCAATGATTCCAACTTATATCTCTTTATCTCTTTTTGAGTCAAGTATTAAATGACTAGTACTTCAAAGTTAAATGTATTTTACTGTATAATTTTTGAGACTGATCATTTATATTTGATATCTATATCTCATTTCATAACTATACTACATGGTCTAATGTATAGCATATGGAAAGTTTTTGTAGCTTACCTCTTCTTGCAAGACTAAATGAGAGGACTACTGTTGGCAGAAAGCAAAGTTGGTCAAGGCCAAAAATAGGACTGACTGTTTTCTTTAGACCCTCCCTTTTTCTTCCTTGTAATAATCTTGAACTCCTAGATTCCAGTTTTTCCTTTATTTAGCCAATAAATATTTACTGAATCCTAACTATTTTCCAGGAACTATGGTAAGTGCTATTGATAGATGTATTAGGCCTTCTTTGACACGGAAGAGCTTACAACCTAGGTGGAGAGGGAGAAACATAACTGCAATATAAATTGATAAGGCCCATAATGGGACGAAGAACAGGCTACTATCCTCATTATACATCTGGTACTCAGAGACCTCTACGTTATTCCTTGGATTTTCCCCATACTTGCAACCCACCTTTTTATCCTCCTCATTAAAACTTACCTGTTATTGAATCCCATTTTCCCTTAAGGCACCCCTTTTGGATAGGTGCTTTGGGAAAACAATCCCACAAATTAACTCACACTGGATATTAAAAGAGTAAAGCATATACCTCACATCCCTCTTGCATTTTAACAAGTCAGTCCATTTGAAAAGAACTGGTTGCTAGTGATGGGAATTTCAAGAACTGTACAGTAGGCCATTAGAAAAGTAAAACTTTCCTCATACACTTCAATCACAACAGAGAGGGGTTGACCGTACAACATAAAACTTCCTTTTAGATGCCCTAACACTATTATTATTTAAACAACATAGCAGCTACATATTCACTAAGAAAATACAATTGAATTTAATTGTTGTTAGTAGTAGTAGTTACCGCTAGTAACTACTGTTACTAAAATAGAAATTATATATCGATTTAAAATTATAAAATTTGCCTTATTCTTTCTTTAACTTTTATTTTAAGTTCAGGGGTACAAGTACATGTTTGTTACATAGGTAAATTTGTGTCATGGGGGTCTGTTGTACAGATTATTTCATCAACCAGGTATTAAGCCAAGTATCCATTAGTTATTTTTCCTGATCCTTTCCCTCCTCCCACCTTCCATCCTCTGATGGGCCCAGTGTGTGTTGTTCCCCTCTATGTGTTCATGTGTTCTCATCATTTAGCTCCCACTTATAAATGAGAACATATGGTATTTGGTTTTTTGTTCCTTTGTTAGTTCGCTAAGGCTAACGGCTTACAGCCCTATCCATCCATGTCCCTGAGAAGAACACGATCGCATTCTTTTTATGGCTGCCTAGTATTCCATGGTGTATATGTACTACATTTTCTTTAACCAGTCTATCATTGATGGGCATTTAGGTTGAATCCATGACTTTGCTATTGTGAATAGTGCTGCAATGAACATACACATGCATGTGTCTTTATAATAGAATGATTTATATTCCTTTAGGTATATTCTTTGATATTATTATGAAGATTCACATGAAATAGCAAGGAATGGTTTTCTAGTTGGAAAAGTATGATTCCCACAATAAAAGTAATAAAATATAATAAGAAATATTTACATATATCAAGAAAAAATGATTCATGGGATCACAAAATAAAAATTATACAAATTGAGGAAAGCCTTATTTAATATAATGTCTTTAGGAAAAAAATTAGTATCTGTGGACCTGGGATTCCTCCCCTGTAAAATGAAGGGTTTAAATAAGAAAAACTCCACTTTCTTGCTTCCAGGCTTAACACATATGTGAATCATTTGCATAAATATTTCTCAATTTTCCTACTACATGAAATTTTAGTTGCTACAATATCACAATTAGGCAGTCTGCATAAATAAAGGAGTTTCTCTTATATTTCTAAATATAAGAGAAATATATAAAATATACTAAAATACTAAATATATAAAATATTTAAAAATACTAAATATACTAAAATACAGTACTAAAATAATGCCTAACACAAAGTAACTGCCTTAGCATAATTTAGGTGGCTGATTGGATGGATTAAAGCTTGGATTAATAGAAAAACACAATGATGCAAATGTGAAGTCAGGTATATGTCTACACATCTAACAACATTTAATGAGAGACACTGAAGACCCAGAAATGAGTATTTTTACAGGCTTACAAATAACCGATGTTCAATTTGGGGGTCAAAACAAGAAATAGAGAAAACTGAAGTAAGTTAGGTAAGGTCCATTTTGACTAGGATTATTTCTGGCAATTTCCCCTCATCTACTTTCTGCAAATTCATGCATGTTCACTGTACTGTGCTTACTGACAATCTGTACCAAATAACTCCTGGCAGTTTGAAATCATTTCATCTATAACATATAAATACCTTATTTGCTTCAACTGTACAAATGCTGGACCCCATCTCACCAAAGTTTTCTAGAATTTAATTGTTCTTCACCTAACATCTTTAAAACTCAATTTATTGGTCTGTAAAACAGTAAGACCTACATTATAGAGTTATTGTGACAATCAGACGGACTCAAAGCATGTCATAGTTTCACTTACGTATCTACCAACCCACTATCATTAGCCTTCTACTTGAGACCAACCCCTTTACCTAAGTACTAAATGTGGTAATCCTTGAAGTCTCTGGGACTTTTCTATACAATTATCATTTTTCTCTGCTTGACTTCAATGTCTTCTCTGCTGGCTCTTTATTTTTCAAAACATGTAAATCATTTGTATTCTAACATTACCTTGACTCTGTGCCTCTTTTTACCAACAATTCTCCCTCCTTTCATCACCTGTGTATATTGATTAAATAAACAAAAAACAATTCAAAGTAATTTTATATGAAAAACATTGCGGGAGGAAAATAGAATAAAAAGCAACAGTAACAATATAAAAAAAAAATCACCTGTTGTCAACCACAGGCATTTCTTCCCAGGTGTAATATAGTTATATAAAATAAACTTGTCATCAGAAGTTTTGAATCTCAGTATTTTTGCTTAATATTAAATTTTATATAGCATTACCTTTTCTAAAAAAAGTGTTAAAATAGTATTTTAATGACTGCATAATATCCTATAGTAAGAATGAAATATAATTCATTTATTCATTCCTACATTTAGACATTTAGGTACTGTCAAAAATTTTTGCTACTATAAATGGTTCTGATAAACATGCTTGCAGATAAATCTTTGCATACGTCTCTGAATATTTCTACAAAATAATCTTCAAGATTGGAAATTATTGACTAAAGTAAAATAAACAATGTGAATAGCTTTTACCTTTCTGACACAAGCTTAAAGTCTTTGTTCTTTCATTAAGGGAAATTTTTCCATTTAAATTTATACTAAAAATATTGTGTTATTGACAAGGCAAGTAAAGAAAAGAAATCAATGCTACTGAATCAGGCACTCTGATGGATATTCTGTCTCTTCCTATTCAACACATTTTCCTTTGGCAATCTCTTTTCATGAGCTTATCAACTACCAATGTATTGATGGCTTCCAAATTTCTCTTCAGGTATGAATTCTCCTTTGAGCTTGAAACTCCCATGTCCAAAGGCTTCTTGACTATATCCTATGGTGTGTCATGCAGTCCTTTGGATTCTGCATTAATAAAAGTAAAGTATTCTTACTTCACAAAATATTCTGTAAATAATTACCCAATTTTGTTAATCAAGTCATATGGAAGACAATGCATAAATATACAAAATAAAGAATAAGAAATGTACTACAAATATTCAGAAAGCATTAAAATATGTCAAAATACTGTTACAGATATATACTAATAAAATTGAAAATCTCAGGACATAATCTTCTAAGAAAATATACATTTTCAAAATTGACTCTATAAATGGAAAATTTTAACAGGCCAATAAATTTAAAAATTAATTAAGAAAGGTTCCAGAAACAGGTGGTTCAAGAGCAAATTCTATTTAATTTCCTTTTTCAAAAATTGATAGATAAAATTCTATGTATTTTCCATGTATAACATGTTTTTAAGTATACATACCTTGTAGAACAACTAAATTTAGCTAATTAACACATGTATTACCTCACAGTTATTTCTGAGTAAACATCCATTCATTATTTTTCAAGAATACATGTATTATTAACTATAGTCATCATGTTGTACAACAGATCTCTTAAACTTATTCCACCTAATTGAAATGTCATATCATTTGACCAATATCTCCTTAAACCCCAGTTTTAATAGAAAATTGAATTTCATTAAGTTTTCAAGGATCAAAATAAACCCATAACATAGTAACAAAAACAAAATATTTCCAAATTCATTTTCTGAAGCTAGCAAAAGCCTAAAACAGTACAGCAAAGGAGGCTACTGAGCACTGTTACTTCACTCCATTGAATTAGGACTGGATGCAAGTGTAAAGCATCAGATTTATAGAACTTACTATAAAAAACTCTAAAATATCTCATTAACATTTTCATATTACATATTAAAATGGTAATATCTTGGCTATATTGTTTTAAATAAAATACATTATTAAAATTAACTTCATCTGTTTCTTTTTACTTTTTAAAAATGTAGTCACAAGAAAATTTTAAATTGCATATATGGCTCACATTGTATTCCTATTAGTATTAATATAGATAATTTTGCTTATAAGGATACAAAACTTCTCAGCGAGTTAAATATAACAATATATTAAAAATAATTTGTGATGACCAAGAAAGTTGAAAGTTTTCCATTAGAATATCTACTAATATATATGATAAATTTATATAAGTATGATTTTAAAAACAATAATTTTGATAGTGCTGAAAATGCATGCAATAAAAATCAACCACAATTCTTAATTTTAAAACTCTTAATAAACTATGATGAAACTCTTTAATGTAATGAAGAATATCTACCTATAAAATGGTTGACACTACACCTAATGGTGAAAACATTAGTGGTATTCCCAGTGAAGCCAAGAGAAAAACAAACTCTTGCTAGCACTTATTATTATAATTTGGAAGCTCCAGCAATACCACCTAACATGAACTATAAACATGAGAAAGGAGTAGAATAAAAAAATTAAGAAATAATTAGAACTTATAAATCAGTAACCTGCTTGTTTACTATACACACACACATACACACACACACACACCAAAAACAGCCATTTAAAAATGCAAAGGAAAGAACAATCTCTTATTACCAATGATAAAAAATAAAAACTACATAGAAACTAACACTACAAGAAAAATGTCAGACTTATATGGAAAAAATGTTTTTCTAAGTAATGTTAAAAAATTTTGAATAAATTAAGACATCTTCCAGATGAGAAACCTCTATGTCAATTCTCCCTAAAACAGTTCATAAATTTAATGCAACCACTCTCAGAAGTCCAATAAAATTGAAGGGGGGGGGCAGTGGTAGAGAGACCTTGATTAAATAATTCTAAATCTCTTATAAAAAATTGGTTAAGAATAGCCAGTAACCTTTTAAAATGAAAAATACTAAAAAGAAACTTTTATTAGCAGGTTTAAACTGTATTGTAAAAGCCACAATAAATAGTGTAGTCCTAGTAAACCATATAGAAACTGATAGAACTGAAGAGAAAAAATAGGCTGGAAATCAAATAGAAAGACAAGAAACAAGCCTATTTGTAAATTAAGTATTTAGCATATGATAAATAATGCATTTTAAATCAGTGGGAAAAACATAGATTTTTTTTCAATTGATGGTGCTGAGACAACTGGTTAAATATTTAGAACAGAGTAAATTTAGAGCCTATCTCACACTGTATATCAAAATAAAATTCCAGATGGTTTGAAGAGTTATATGTAAACAATAAAACCATAAAAGAAATAGAAGCAAATACAGAAGAATTTTTAATCTTATCTTGGGTTGGAGAAGGTCTTCCTAAGCATAAAAGCAAAGGCAGAAGCCATAAAAAATGTAATATGGTTTTTAAAAATAGAATATTTGAACACATAAAAATGAAAGGTCAGTATAGCAAAAACAAATGAAACTAAAAGGCAAACAATAAATTTAGAAAAAACTATTTGCAACATATGACAGAGTATCATATAGCAGCTGAAAACAATGTCCTATGAAAAATAATTAAGGACCTGGGAAAAACAACTAGCACATAGTGTTAAACGGAGAAATTGTTATAAAACAGTACATACATTATTATAGGAACTTTGTAAAATACACTTACATTTGGGTATAATGGTTTCCCACATATACCATGTTTATAATTTCCATGCTTTTATACATATAGTCCCCTTTGACTGAAGAGATCCTCCTTCCTTCCCTGTCTATACATCTCCTATTCATCTTTCAAGCATCATTTCTGACATCCCTTTAGACAACAAGAAGTCTTCTTTGAATTATCAGGCTGGAATATGTGCCCTTCCTTTGTTTGCCCATAGTACATTGTTGTACACCATCAAATTAATGCTATTTAATATTATCTGTTTACATGTATTACTCCACCCCTATGATTAAAGTTCCTTAAGAGAAAGGGTAATATTTTACCTCTTTCTGCATGCTCATTTCCTAGTATTATATCTGTCAATTAGTACACATTCGAAAATATTGGTTTGAATTATTGCTAAAATGTCTTCTAATTAAGATTATTCCAAAATGAAGCTAACATCAATAGGGAGACAAACAACACAAGAGGCATCAAACTGTATAAGAAGTCTGAAAGAAAAAAAAGACTTAACGTCATGAGAGATGATTCTGTCCTCATTTTCACGTTAAACCAGAAGCTTCCTTCAGGGTACAGCTCAATGAGTCACCCTAGAGTATTCTAGGTATATATTGATATTCCTAAAAATCTAAACATATGTACCATATACAAACCGTGTCCCACAATTTATCACTTAAAGTTTATTGTTTTTAAATGATTTCTCATTTATGAGTCTTTTCTCTCATTAGACGTTAATCTCTGTTATGTGAAGAGGTCATGCCTTATCTAGGCAGATATCCTACAAAGTGTTTGGCTAAGTACCCTAGTACTTTAATAAAAATTCAATATGCACAAATTTTCTATACAGCTTTAAGTAATTTTCTGTTTTTATTTACATACATCCCTTCATAATTTTCTAAGAAAATCAGGATCTACTCCAATTTCCTCATTACCCATCATCATCCAGAATGATGAAGAGATGTATAGATTATTAAGAAAATATTTGCGTTTGCTGAGTAAACCCGATATTATCTAATCAAAAGAACAGCTTCGGCTGTGCTGCTCCTAGCTGTGCTAGTCCACACAGCTTTCCCAGTTTTCATGAATTAGTGGAGGTAATGTTAAACCACTTTTCTAGTAAGAGTGCATAAGGATATTTAAGTGAGCTCATCCCTCTAACAAAGGAAAGAATAATTTTCATTAATCATTATTCAACAGTACATCTTCTTGAACTAAATCATGAGAGGAGGAACTTATGATGTTTTTTATTAGTCAAAACATTTTCTATATATAGCTTAGTATATGCAACGTGCCAAATTACAGAATTCTATTTACTGCTAATGTCAATTTACCACCACATTGCTTGATATAATTCAAAGTTTTCCAAGGAGCTATTTGACCTCCTATAGACTGAAAATAAAATCATGAGATTTAAATTACTTAATGCCAAAAAGGAAAGTCATCTTTTTCTCCTTCTTATGTCTTTGTTTCATAAAACTATTATCAGACAGTCCATGCAAACAACTAAAAACAAAAAATTATATGGTGTAGTTAATTGAAAAAATGCTTTTGCTACACACAGAAATTGACACTAAGTGCTGTATTAGAAGGAAATCAGTGATTTTCAATTGACATTGCACAGGAAATCATTTAGTGTCAATTGATATTAAATGGGTAAAATTGTACTGAATTAGTACAAAATGATTTGGTGGAAAAAAATGTGCTTCCATTAGGTGACTTGATATTAAGTGGGCTTAAATGTAATAAGTTTTAGAGGTCACTAGTCAACAAAAATTGGGGCATGCTATTCAACCCTGAGTACATCAGACTGCTTGCTCTTAATACCCTCATCAAAAGATAAGTTAGTGTCATACTATCATGACAAAATTGTCTTCCTTTGGGCTTTCAAGGGAAGTGGGAAAATTCAAATTGTTTAAATGAGCTAAATTAGCCAGTGGTAAGGACCATGACTTCTTAGATTTATCTGGTGGTCCTAATCCTTTAAAAATATTTTTTTTTCTAGAATTTTTGGCATGAAATGAAAGGCAACATAACAGCACGTATTTTATGTAATATGGTCCAGATTGCGCTTTCTTTATAAAATGGCTTTGACAGTAAGCACACAATAAATTATATTGTGTTAGGGAGTGATATGATTATATATAATGAAGTAACCACTTTATTGATCTTTTAAGAAACCTATGTTTTTAAACCTGAGTAATGAGGAAAGAGAAGTGTGTGGCTGCAGGAGACACAAGGAAGGAGAAGAAACAGGAAAAGTTACATTACACAGTCACTACAAGAACAAATTGAATAAAATATTATAGATATTTTCTGGGAAGAGAAATGGGGGTTTGTGAGGTACAGAAAATTGTAAAACTCATTTGTTACTTAGTAATACAAGAAACAATAACAATAAAACAGACATACTGGGAACACTCCACCCAACAAAAACAGAATACGCAATCTTCTCAAGTGTATGTAAGGCAATTACCAGTGTCCAGGATAGACCACATATTAGGCCACAAATTAAGTCTCCATAGATTTAAATAGACAAATATCATACAAAGTATCCTTTCTGACCACAAAGGGATAAAGTTAGAAATCAGTAACAAAATGAAAACAGTTAGGCAACATACTCTTAAACAAAGGATCAAAAAAGAAATCACAAGAGAAATTAGAAAACACCCAGAGATGAATGAAAAAGTATTATCCCAAATCAAAACTTAAGAAACACAGCAAAAGGAGTGCTAAGGGGAAAGTTTATAATTATAAATGCTTACATTAAACAACAAAAAAGACCTCAAATCAGAACCTAACTTTACAACCTAAGGAACTAAAAAAAAAAAAAAAAAAACAAACTAAACCCACAGCTAGCAGAAGGAAAGAAATACGTATTAGAGCAGATGTAAAATACAGAATAGAAAAATAAGATAAAACCAATAAAACCAAAAGTTGGTTCTTCAAAAATATTAATAAGATTGACAAACCTTTGGATATATATACTAAGAAAAAAAGAGAAGACTCAAATTACAAAAATCAGAAGTGAGAGAGGAAACACTACTACTATTCTACAGAAATAAAAATGATTATAAAAGAGTACGATGAGCAATTGCTAGGCCAACGAATTGGATAACCTAGTTGAAATGTAGAAATTCCTAGAAAAACAAAACCTACCATAACTAAACCACAAAGGAATAGAAAATCTGAATAGACCTATATAACTTGTAAGGAGATTGAATCAATATTCAAAAATCTCCCAATAAAGAAAAGTCCTGGACCTGATGACTTCACTGGTGAGTTCTACCAATTATTTTTAAAAAGAATAATATCAACTAAAGTTTCCTCAAAAAACAAAAAATTGAGCTACCACATGATCCAGCAATCCCACTGCTGGGTATGTATATACCCAAAAGAAAGGAAATCAGTATATCAAAGAGGTATCTGCACTCTTATATTTGTTGCAGCACTGTTTACAATAGCTAAGATTTGGAAGTGTCCATCAACAGATGAATAGATAAAGAAGATGTGGCATATATACATAATGAAGTACTATTCAGCAATAAAAAAGAATCCCTCTCAAACTTTTCCAAAAAAATCAGAGAAGGAAACACTCCCTGATTGATTACATGAGGCCTGTATTACCCTGATGCCAAAACCAGACAAAAACACAATAAATAAAAACAACAGACCAATATCTCTTATGAGCATTGACAAGGATTGAAAATCCTTAACAAATTATAGCAAACCAAATTCAGTAGCATATTAAAAGGATTTTACCCTATGACCAAGTAGGATTTGTCGTTGAAATGCAAGGATTTTTAACAGATGTAAACCCATCAACATAATACACCACATTAACAAAATAAAGGGAAAAAACAATAATCTTGATTAATGCAGAAAAACTACTTGACAAAATCTGACATCCTTTTATAATAAAAATCCTCAAAAACTAAGAATAAAAGTAAAAAACCCTAACATAATAAAATCCATGTATTAAAAACTCACAGCTAAAATAATACTCAAGGGTAAAATACTGAAAGCTCTTCCTCTGAGATCAGCAACAAGGCAAGTACTATTCCACATAATACTGAAAGTCCTAGTCAGAGCAGTTAATTAGGAAAAAAAGAAATGAAAGGCACCCAAATCAGAAAGAAATAAGTAAAATTATCTCTGTTCACATATCATATGATCTCATATGTAAAAAACATATTCCACAATTTCCACCAAAAAAAAACCCTGTTAGAACTAATAAATAAATACAACAAAGCAGCAGGATAAAAAAAATCATCACGCAAAAATCAGTCACATTGCTACACACTAACACTGAACAATCTAAAAAGAAAACTAAGAAAACAATTCCATATACAGTAGTATCACAAAGAATAATACTATTTAGAAATTAACCAAAGAAATAAAATTTTTACCAATAAAATCTATAAAACTTTTCTGAAAGAAATTAAAGAAGACATAAATGAAAAGAATTGTGTTCACGAATTGGAAGGCTTAACATTGTCAAGATATCAGTTCTGCCCAAAGTAAGATATAATGTATTCCCTATAAAAATCCAAATTATGTTTTCACAGAAATAGAAAAACTCATCCCAAAATTCACACGAAGTATCAGAGAACCCCCAAACAGCCAAAACAAAACTAAAAATGAAGAATAAAACCAAAGCACTCAAACTTCCTGGTTTCAAAACGTACTACAAAGCTACAGTAATCAAAACAGCACGGTACTGGCGTAAAGACAAACTAAGAAATAAAATAGAGTCCAGAAATAAACCCTCACCAGTGTGGTTAAATGATCCTTGAAAAGGGTGCTAAAATTATTCAATGGGGAACAGACAGTCTTTTCAATAAATAGTGATTGGGAAAAGTGGGTATCCACATGCAAAAGAATAAACTTCAATCCTTACCTAACACCATATATAAAATTAATTCAAAATAGATTCTAAATATAAGCTTTAAATATAAGATCTAAAACTATAAAACTCTTGGAAGAAAGCATGAGGCAAAAGCTTCATCATACTGGATTTGGCAATTATTTGAGTATGACAACAGGCCATAGGCAATGACAACAAAAAAGACAAATTGAGCTTCATAAAAATTAAAAATTAAATGCACCTCAAAAGTCACCATCAACAGAGTAAAAAGCCAAACCACTGAATAAGGGAACATGTTTGCAAGTCTCATATTGGATAAGGGGTTAACATCCAAAATATACAGAGAACTCCTAAAAACACAACAACAAAAATCTGAATCAAAACTGTGCAAAGAACTTGAATAGACATATTTCCAAGAAAGATATACAGATGGCAAACAAGCACATGAAAAGATGTTCAACATGACTAATCATTTGGGAAATGTAAATCAAAGCTACAATGAAATGGAATCTCACACCAATTAGAATTGCTACTATCAAACACACACACACACACACACACACACAAAACAAGTTTTAGTGAGGATATGGAGAAGTTGGAACCATTTTACACCTTTGATAGAAATGTGAAAAACAGCATGGCAGTTTCTCAAAAAGTTAAAAAATAGAACTACCATATGACAGAGCAATTCCACCTCTGGGTATATATTCAAAAGAACTGACAGCAGGGTCTTGAAGAGATATTTGTTAATATGTTCATAGCAGCCATATTCACAACACCCATATTCACAATTACTAAAATATGGAAGCAATTCAAGTGTCTATTGGATGGATAAATGGATACACAAATTGTGATATATATACACAATGGAATATTATTCAGTCTTAAAAAGTAAGGAAATTGTGACATATGCTACAACATCAGTGAACTTTGAGGACACTATGCTAAATGAAATAAAGCCAAACACAAAAAGACAAATATTGTATGATCCAATTTATATGAAGTACTTAGGGAAATTAAATCATAAAGACAGAAAGTACAACGGTGGTTGCCAGGTTGCTGGTGGGAAGGAAAAATGAGGAGTTGTTCTTTTATGTGTATAGGCTTTAAGTTTGCAAGATGAAAATAATTCTGGAGATACTTGGTGGTAATG
The DNA here is from genome assembly GCF_000001405.40 of Homo sapiens. Taxonomy (NCBI): domain Eukaryota; kingdom Metazoa; phylum Chordata; class Mammalia; order Primates; family Hominidae; genus Homo; species Homo sapiens. Next base: position 115,036,159 of record NC_000003.12, read on the forward strand.
GGTTCACAATAATATGAATGTACTTAATGCCACCAAACTGTACAGTTAAAATTGAATAAGGTGGTGTATTTTATGTTATGTGTATTTTACTACAATAAAAAAGTTGAAAAAAAAATGAAAGAAAAGCTTTGTGATTTTTTTTTCTTTCTTTTTTTTTTCCGAGACGGAGTCTCGCTCTGTCGCCAGGCTGAAGTGTAGTGTCGCGATCTCGGCTCACTGTAACCTCCGCTTCCCGGGTTCAAGTGATTCTCCTGCATCAGCCTCCCGACTAGCTGGGACTACAGTCTTGCTCTGTCACCAGGCTGGAGTGCAGTGGTGCGATCTCGGCTCACTGCAACCTCCGCCTCCCAGGTTCGAGCGATTCTCCTGCCTCAGCCTCCCGAGTAGCTGGGACTACAGGTGCGTGCCATCACGCCCAGCTAACTTTTGTATTTTTAGTAGAGACGGCGTTTCACCATGTTGGCCAGGATGGTCTCGATCTCTTGACCTCATGATCTGCCTGCCTCGGCCTCCCAAAGTGCTGGGATTACAGGTGTGCACCGCAGCGCCCGGCCACTTTGTGATTTTTTAAATGTGACCTGCCCCACCCCAAAAATACATAGATAGGGAACTCTTCATGGTAATCACTGGGCTTGAAGAGATAGCATTAACCTTTTTTCTAATTTGGCCCTGAGACTGAAAAATATATATATCCATAGGAACCCATACAGAACTTACGATGAATGTCCACGAAGTAAACCAAGAACATTCCCCCTAGCATTAGCAGAGAGCATTCTAAAATATAATTTAGTTTCATCACAGAGGAAGCTTACAATGAAACTGGAGCTACATTCAGGACAGTCTTTAAGGTTCAGGAGAATGATTTGCTGATTCAAATGGACAACAGAGAAATCTGATTAAATAATAATATATTTATGATCATTACTGTTTATTAAGCTTTTACTAATAGTGAGGATAATCTTCAGCATTCTTCATTAACTATCAATCGTTTTGCTTAACAATCTGATAAGGTCCACCTATTTCAGAAACAAAGATCATGAGATTAAGAAAACTGACCAAAGTAACAAGCACAGTAAGGTGTTAAACCCACATCTATCTGAATCCAAAGTAAAGAAATTTTTGGGGGGGGCGGAGTGAGGAGGTGGAAACAGAGTCTCACTCCGTCACCCAAGCTAGAGTGCAGTGGTGCAATCTCAGCTCACTGCAACCTCCGTCTCCCAGGTTCAAGCAATTCTCCTGCCTCAGCCTCCTGAGCAGCTGGGATTACAGGCTTGCACACCATGCCCAGCTCAATTTTTGGATTTTTAGTAGAGGCAGGGTTTCAAAACGTTGGCCAGGCTGGTCTCAAACTCCTGACCTCAAATGATCCGCCAGCCTCGACCTCCCAAAGTGCTGGGATTACAGGCGTGGCCACCATGGTGGGCCCCAAGTAAAGAATTTTTAACTAGGTAATTTGGACTTTCAAAACTGGGACATAGTTGGTGATTTAAAATAAAAATCCTCTTGCAAGAATCTGAAGCTAAAATGTTCCAAAGCACAACAGGAGCTGTGAACAAGTTAGTAGTCTATAAGGAGAAGTATAAATACATTGGAAGAATTAATCTAGGGGGAGGAATGTGGTTTAAGCAGTAATTGATAGGTGAAGATGAGCACAAAAATCAGAAAACACATAACTGTACCTGTAAGTTGCTATTCCTTTAAATCTTGCCTTATTTTTAAATAAATAAATATGCTAGAAAACATTTATTCTTTGTGGTTTTAGTACATAGAATAATATTTTAATTTCCAAATACCACAAATGAGGTCTAAAACATGATTAAATAATTAACTCCATTATCCTTACAATAGAAAACTTAGCTATTCAAACAATGAAGTTTCACATGGGTGATGCCACCTCCTACATTGTCACACATTAAAAAGTTATAGTCACAGGTTTTTAAAGAAATAACAGCTTTTCCGGGTTAAACTTCCAATCTCAAGCCTATTCATGATGATAAATGTCACAGGGTCAAAGACCTACAGGGAAAATCTACGTTAGCTCTAAGGTGGGTTAACCAGTACACACTGATTAATCCAAAATCCATTTGTTAGGAACAAGGCAAGTACTACACACCCTTCATTTTGAAGATACTCATAAACCCAATTAACAATTTTCAATGACAAAGCTTGTCCCTTTGTATGTATGTATAATAACATCATAGAACTCTATACAAGCACATACAAAACAAGGTGAAAACTGACTTGGCCATACAGGTTTGCAATCTAACTAGAAAGCATAAATATCACAAATAAATAGATGTAAATACAATTAGTACATTGATAAACATACTTCATACTCTTATGCAGTAAATACTCAAAAAAATAAGCAATGAAAATAACATAGAATACTTGTTGAACTGACTAAACTCATCCCAGTGAAGTTTCCTGAATACATTTTCCTTGAATTTTTATTATAAAACTGCAGCTAAATTTTGCCTAAACAAGTTTATCCCTAAATGTAAACAATGCATCCAACATTATAGAAATCATCAATTTTTAAAAATCTGTTGTTGGTAAACTATTAACGTCATTATATTCAAAGGAAATGTTAAAATTATTAAAATTTTAATATTTTAATTCTAAAAACTATATACTACTATCAACATTTGCTTCACACATCTGCAATATGAAAGTGGTAACGTCTAAAGGTTTAACATTTTAAAATAATATTTTCACCTTTTAGCCATTGCATTATATCAAAGTTATGCAATTTTTTACCTTTTTATTATTATTTTTTGCATTCTCTCCCTTTACTGGAGATTATTGCCTTCTTCTCTGACATCATAACTAGATAATATCTCAATGACCTGTTACTGTATCCTTGGATAAGAGGAGATAGCATCTCCAGTAAGGTCAAATATGAGTCAACCATGTGATATGGGTACTGAAAAATTCCAATTAAATCTTAAACTGACCTGACAGAATAACAGTATCTAGAATGAGGGAGATGACATTCCCACTCTCATCAGCAATGGTCAGATGGCATGATCAATACTGTGATACATGACCCAGAAGCACAATAATATCCTAAGAAGGGGGAAGAGGAAGGGTGAAAGACTAGAATCATAACATATTTGGAATGGTAGAAAGAATCAAGGGTATTACATGTTGACTATGCGATTAGGAAAACAATCGGGATAGAAAACGTTTCAAATGTTTGAAAACTTCAAATGAGATTACTCTGTATGTTCCCAAGGCATATACTATTAATAAAATGATGGGTTGAGAATACTAGATACAGGTTTCAACTCAAAGTAAATAAGAACCTCTTAACATCAGAATTGCTCACAGATGACGTGTTGCTTGAAATATTAGTGAACATATTTCAAGCAGAGACTGGAGGTGTTTAAAGCAGTTTTACAATATGATTCTATTAGTCTTCTCAAAGCTCAGAATTAAAATATTTAATAATGCTGAGTGGTGGATGTTTTTACAGTGTGGCCTGGAATCTGCAGTTATCAACCTACAAGTGTCTGATTTTTATTAGCAAAGTATTAAAAAGTTGTTCATTTTCCCAATTTAAGAAGAAGTTTATGCACTGGACATTGCTTTTCAAAAGTTATTTTTTGAATAGTGGTAACCAAAGGTTGGGGCTTGCGTAGTGGGGAGAATGGGGACATGTTGGTCAAAGGGTACAAAATTTCAGTTAGGAGATATAAATTATGGCCATCTATTTTACAGCATGAAAACACATAGTTGGTAACAAATAATGCACTACACACCTGAAAATTGCTGAGGATAGATTTTAAATGTTATCACCATACACACACATATACATACACACAAATGATAAGTATGTGAGATGATAGATATGTTAAGTAGCTTGATTTATTATTTCACACTGAGTATATATATGTTAAAACATCCTTTGCTCACCATAAATATATACAATTTCATTTGTCAATTAAAAATAATAACAAAGTTACATATATAATTTTTTTTATTTCAAGTGGTATGGCTTTATATAATGCTGAATGACTCACTGACTGATTGAATCACTGTCATTCATTCAACAGACATTTATTCAGAGCCTGGTATGTGCCAAAGACTGCAAAGTGGCATACAAAAAGAAAGAATAAGACAAAGCCTATGCTTATAATATGTCAGGGTAAGTAGACACCCAAAAATAATCATTTTCAAAGTTTAAGATCTTATTCTAGAAGCCTGTGCTCTGGGAGCACACTGGAATGGCATTTAACTTTCCAGAAGAATCAAGGAAGACTTCACTGAGGAGGTGATATTTGAGCTGGGCTTTAAAAGATTAATAGGATTTAACTAGATAGCAAGGGAATGGAATGATATTTCAGGCAGAAGAAGCATTATGTACTCAGAGGCATGAAAGTACATGGTGTGGTTAGTGAAAAAGGCAAGAAATTTGGTAAAGCTGAAATGTGAGGTATAAAGTATGGAAAGAGTGAAAATAAGACTGACAAAGTAGATCATGACTAAATATTTGGGGTCAATATAAGCCATGCTAAGGTGTTTGGGTTTAATCTTGGGCACAAAGAAATGTTTTCAAGTAGAAAGGTAACATGGTTACATTTGCATTTTAGACAATATATGTGCATCATGTGTGAGAAACTCATTTCTATAAATACTAGTTTTTGCCTTGAAACATTTCAGGGGGAGTGGAATCCTCGAGTTACTGGCACCAGCAAGGGTAAATTAATGGGCACTAGATGGCGGCATAGAGTGCCCAATTCTTCATAATATCAGTTACTATTTCTGAGCCTGTATTTTTGACTTAAATAATTCCTTTATTCAAAAATCCCATTAAATGAATATGCACTATTTAGACTGATTGGCATGAAGTAATAGACTACTGTAAGGGGAACACGCATTTTTTAAAAGAGGTAAAGCCCATGTTGGTGCATGATGGAAAAGGCAGTTGAGGATTATAAAAATATTTGGATAAAATTAAAAATACAACTTTGAGTTCAATGGAATCTTAAATTTCTCTTGCAGAAGTTGCCATTCGTCTTTAAATAATAATACATATATGTGTAAAACACCTAAACTTCATAAAGTCATGTTATATTCACCATCTGTCCTCTTCTTCAATTACCACCATTACCACATGGACAAACATTACAATTCACATTTTACAAGGAACGAAACTGAGGCTCATGTAAATGTTTTTCCCAGTTTATATGGTACAGTTAATAAATAATAGTACCAAAACCAAAACTCTAGTTTTTTTATTACAAATCCAGTCTTTGGTTCACTTTGTCATGTTTCACAACTGAAAAACAATTGGGAACTAGGACAAGATTAAGACAAGGAAATGATAGAACCAAATGATTCTAATGCCATTCTGTGATAAACAGAGAGCAAATACTGTAAATTGGATTGTATATTCATTAAGCCCATGGTTTCTGACAATTATTTTGGAAGAATTTACATGTCAAAGAAAATTATGACCAATATTTAGTTATACCAAGGAATTTACATTGGAGAAGCTCTATATATTTTTAATGTTTGGTTGATAATATGTTAACAAGATGATTAGTAAGAAACACAAAAATAGTTTGTAACTTAAGATGTAAAAGATTCCAAATAACTATAAATTCCCTATGGAGAAGCCATCTCTGCCCCATGTCATCATGCCTTTAAAATTAGACGCAAAAGTTTGAATACTCAACAGTAGAATTGTTTATTTAGTAGTGTGGAAGGTCTACCTCTGTCTATTTCCTGAGGGAAAGCGGCTATAATGAGCCTGCCTGAATTATGAGAATAAAGTTTTCCTTTTTTAAAGAGTTTATTCTAACAGATAGGAGGTAACTTTTATTTCTGCCTTCCTCTCTTGCCACTCCATCCCCAGCTAAGAATCCAATCCCTCAAGAGCTGTCATCGTTTTTGTTGTTGTTGATACTCTCCACCAAGACAAACTAAACCAGACTGAGACCATGCCATTTTAGCATTATGAAACAAGAAAGAAAGCAAAAGTCACCAACAGAGCAATACAGGAATTTGAGATGTACAGAGGAACTGAAAAAAGAGGAGCTGATAGGAGCATTCTCTTTCAAAGCTCAATTTAGTGTTCCAACTACTTAAAACCCTATCACAATATACTCTATGCCATCAGGGAAGAAAAATGCCAATTTTAAAACATTATTTTCACTTTTTTATAAAAGGTAAAACATGTTAAGGTCCATACGTAAAATCTTTCCAACACATCAGTTCATCTGCAAATTAGTAGCTGAAGTCTGCTCAAACGCAGAGGAAACTTCCATTTAGGTCTTGAAAAAGAATAGAGCTCATTTTAAAACATCTTTATTTATTTGTGCAACAGTGAGTTTAGAAACAAAGTATCCAGTGTATTTTCCTAGAGTTAAAAAAAGAAATATTTTTATTGAGTACATTCCAAAACAATTAAATATTCTCTTACCCCACCCTTTTCACCAACTGAATAGTTTTCGTTTGACTTTGAATTACCACCCACTTACTGATTTACAAACTGGTCAAATTCAGCATATATACCCACACTCATACAAAATGCATTTCAGGTTTCCCTTTTTGGATTAAAAACTAAAATTTTATTTTACAGTGAGAGCTAATTTGTTAGGTAAGACACAATTAAACCAAGAAAGATAAATCTAAACTTACTTACTTCTTCCAAATTTGAAAATTGTCCATGAGATCTTCACCAATAAGCTACATCTTTTCCATGCTTTATGATCATACCCCATTTTTTGTATGCAAAGAAGAAAGGGGACTAATATCTTTGATCATAAGTGTTGAGATCCTAAATTAAATCTAAGATTTGGGGCCTTATTAATACAAAGGGAGAAAATAGTTAACTGAAGATGTCATTAGTAAAAATTTTCATTAACTTCTATCTCTATAATTTCTGGCCTTTCCAGTTTTCGGTTGCATCTTTCTAGAAATGCATGTCCTTTTCCTAGCCTTAGCTCTGAAAATATTGCTTCTACCCATAAAATGTCATGTTGATAATGCTTTAAATATTGAACTATAAAATTTCTATATCAGAATTAATGAGCCTATTTCATGTTTTAACACTGAAAATACATTCTAAGAGTTTAGAACTTCTTTAATAATTTGTTTAAAAAGTAGTTGAAGGCCAGGCATGGTGGCTCACACCTGTAATCCCAGCACTCTGGGAGGCCAAGGTGGGCGGATCACTTGAGGTCAGGAGTTTGAAACCAGCCTGGCCAACATGGTGAAACCCCATCTCTACTAAAAACTAAAAAAAAAAAAAAAATTAGCCAGGTGTGGTGGCAGCCGCCTGTAATCCCAGCTACTCGGGAGGCTGAGGCAAGAGACTCGCTTGAAACCAGGAGGCAGAGGTTGCACTGAGCCGAGATTGTACCACTACACTCCAGCCTGGGCAACACTCAGCAAGACTCTGGTCTCAAAAAGAAATAAAATAAAATAAAATAAAATAAAATAAAATAAAATAAAATAAAATAAAATAATAAAATAAATAAAAGTAGTTGAAACCAGAAAAAAAGAGATCATCTAACATATAGGAGTAGAATTTTGAGATATAAAGTTTTACTCCACATTTTCTTTGTCACTAATATTTCCCCACTATTCCTTGCACTCATAAGCCCTTATTTTCAGAATTTATTGTCTATTATGGTTTTAATATGTGTCCCCTCCAAATCTCATGATGAAATGTGGTCTCCGGTGTTGGAGGAGGGCCTGGTGGGAGGTGTTTGGATCATGGGGGTTGATACCTAATGAATGGCTTGGCACCATCTCCTTGGTAATAAGTGAGCTCTCACTCTAAGTTCACATGAGATCTGGTTGCTTAAATGCATGTGGCACCTCCTCACCTCCTTGCTCCTGCTTTTGCCATGTGAAGTACCTGCTCCTCCTTTGCCTTCTGCCATTACTGTAAGATTCCTTAGGCCTCCCCAGAAACCAAGCAGATTCCAGCACCATGCTTCCTGTACAGCCTGCAGAACTATGAGCCAATTAAACCTCTTTTCTTTATAAATTAACTTGCTTCAGGTATTTCTTTATAGCAATACAAGAATGGCCTACTACACTCTCCAGGAAGTTTCAAATCACGTAAGACTAAATGTTAGTATTCTTACTGCAAGCCAACCAGCGTAGGTTCACCCTCTTTTATTTTGCAGCGAGAAAAACAAAACAAAACAAAACTAAATCCATAGAGCTGATTTTGATTTACAGATACATTCATTTTATTTATAGGTATCAGGCATACTTTTTTCCAAGCTTCAGACCTCCAATGAGAAGGCAAAGCCTAATGTGGTTCAGTCTTATTACCTGGCTAATTTGAAAGGCAAAATAAATGACAGTGAAGAAATAAAAGACAGCTAAACCAGATGATGTTGGTTTGTAAACTTTAATGACTACTTATTAAAATTTTGCAAAAAATGAAATTGGTTATTATCTATATCAGTGATTTCCAATGGTGGCTACCAGAAGAATTGCTTGGGAACCTTTTAAAACATACCAATGCCAGAGCCCTGCCTTACACCAATTAAATCATATTTGGCAGTGCCAAGTTTAAAACATACCTGAGGTAGCATTTTGTTAAGACTGTTTAACAAAGTTATCGAGAACACAAGCTACTTTCAATCTGAACTTCATTTGCCTCATCCCCAAAATGGGCAGAATAACTACACTATGTGGATATTGTGAGAATTAAATGAAATAATGCTTAAGAAGAATCCAGAACAATGACTGGCTCACAGTATGTACTCATTTGTAGGTGGTATTGCTATTAGAGCTCCTGTTGATCTGCACTGGTAAAACCTGTAGGTGTTACAGAAAGGAAATGGTATGCCTATGAATAAGGAAAAGGAAGAACACTCTTTAAACATCAATCGCAGCCAGCAATGTGCTATACCCATGAGACATAGGAAATACAGCAGCAAATCATACTTAGCATTCCTGTGATAGATGTTAGCCTTAATGAAGTATCTTCATGCCATACACAGGACCACAAAAGCCTCTGTGGGACCCAACATACAATTTCCTATAATAACTCGTGAATCCCATTCATTAAATTAGTCATATTGAACATTCTTATTCAATTTCTCTATATCTAATGCCAATAAACTAAAAAACATGTAGTATATGTTCCTATTTATATCTGCATATAAACATAAATACATATTTTTACATATATATGAAACATTAAAAAACAGAGGTAATTTTTTTGTCTATATAATTTTCCCGTAGTGGCCGAATTTCCTAAAATAAGCATACATCATTTTTATAAGTAAGATGCTGATTTCATTTTAATTAAACAAATAAAAAGTCATATATATTTAAAAATACAAAGAAACTACACCTTTCTACAATTAATTTATTAGAAGTTTGTTTACTGGTATTGTTATTGTCTGCACTGACCTTAAGCCTCCTTAAAGAAAAAAAAAAGGCAAACAACTAAAATGCAATCAATCCAGTCAAATTCATGGTGTTATAAAGTTCTTCAGAACAGCACTAACATGGAAGACTTTTATAATAGGAAAGGAAAAACCAAATAAGAGAGAAAGAGAATATAAATAAATTATTCAGCCCTCCCTTTCAAAAAGTAAAGAAAATATTTTCAGAATAGATTATTTCTTTCATTATACTACTGACATATTCTTTCCCTAAATTCTAATTCTGATCCTAATCTTTTTCTCTACTTCTTTTTTCTCCTCATATTTTAAGATTCTAAGATTGTTCTCAAACTGTTGGCAACTGCTAGATCACTTGATGAGGGTTCAACAAGCATGTGGACCACCAGTTTTAGTTGGAAGAATGCCATTGTTTACAATCTTTCATCAAGGTATCTCTTACTGGCTCAATGATAAATTGTGTGAGCCATAGATCAGGTGAAATTTTTATCCAGAAAAATAATTTTAAAACATCTTCATTTGTACTGAATCAGAAAATCATGACATACTTAGAGGTCACTGGGATTAATACTGAATTCGAGATGGCTCTGTCAGGTAGTTCTAGATAATTTGCAATAAGCATCAACCCAGAGGTTACGAAAAGGTTTCTCACTGAAGACTACCTTCAATATGTAACAGATGCTAAGTCAAAAATTATATTACACACAAACCTAAAACGTTGAAGGTTTTAACTCGGAAGATGGAGAAAAAAGGATTCTTAATCCATCTTTTGACAGCACTCAGTCCTATAAAGTTGTTAGAAAAAAAAAGTCTTCATGTTTTGCACCTGGAAATTATTTTTAAATGGGCTTAATAATGTGGCATCAATTCCTTTCCCCCAAAATGAGTAAACACATCAAATGTTGGGTAAAAGTCATGTTCTCAGTGATCGTTGAGCCATATGTACCAAAATTAATATTCTAAAGAAATTCTGCTATCTTGTCCTCAACTAAAAATCTTGTTGACCTTAAATTAATAGGTCAAGGCTACTTAAGAATTGATATGTATGACTTAATAAGACTACTTGAAATTATAGGAATAGTTTTTATAGGATTTACAAGTATTATGAAGAAATAGTTTTTCATTTTTTCATTCATAGTTGCAAAATGTAGGTTATGAAATAACTTTAAAAAACAACATTTCCATTCATGTAAAAACCTCCCTCTCCTTGCTATGGGCAAGTCTGGTTCTCCATACCGTCACAATGACACTTTCGCAGTCAACATCACAGCTCAGGAAATAATTATTAAAAACAAACAAACAAACACAAATATCTATTATAGAGTATGGGTTTTTAGTGATAAGAAAAACAAAAGTCATCAAGCATTTCTTCACATATTCACAGAACAAATGCCAAGAGCTGATTTAGACCTTCCAACTTAAAATTTAATTATCTGCTACCACATACGTTAGATGGTATCTGTTTTTCCACAGTACAGTAATATGTTGATATAATGCAGAATCCAACAATTTGGTATGATAAAGGAATTTTATCAATACTTTCTTCTGCTTTCTCTCTGAACATATTTGTCATCATCTTTGAGGCTGATTTACCAGTTTTGAAGCAATCCTGCGCATTACTTGTAACTGTTTTTGCTATGAGGAGTACAATTCTGAATGAAGTCTTTGTAGTTTTGATCTTTTCACCTTTAGTAATAAAAGTCATCTATTTTGTACCAGAAAACAGTAAAATGGCAAAAACAAAAAGTTTCAATAGCTTCCTTTGATTATTTGACAAAGTTTGAGAAAAGACAACATACTTGGAACCAGAGGAATCAGGAAGAAAAAGGACTGCTGGTATTTGTCAGTGGGCTTTCTATTTGTGCTTCTTAAGCTGATTGTACGAAATCCTCACACCTCCATGTTCACTTTACCCAGCACTTATTAAATGTACATTTTATTGCTCCAGAAAACTATTCACTATTTATACTTATAATCATTATTGTACATTATTGTTAGAATTTTCATATTTTTATATTTTAATGAATCTCCTTTAAACTACTGATGTATTTTTGTGAATTGGAAATACAACAGAAAAGTAACAATGAATAATGCAAAATTTAATAAATGTAAACAATCTGCAAGTTATGTAAAACATATTAACCCGGACATATTATATACTGTATCCTGTTAAATGCCTGTTGGTTGAGATAAACACAAGCAAATCAGTTTCAGGATCTAATTGGTGGTGAACAGCTTTCACTATAGTAAAGTTAACTTTATGTATAACGAAATTGTTTACAAGGCCTGCATTCCACACAATGACCTGGAATTGTGACAGTTCCTCAGTCCCAGAGATGCTATATTCATGATTTTGCAATAAACAAAACTAATACTTATTAAGAGCTAAGAAAATTTTCTGGCCGGGCGCGGTGGCTCACGTCTGTAATCCCAGCACTTTGGGAGGCTGAGGCAGGCAGAACACGAGGTCAGGAGATCGAGACCATCCTGGCTAACACGGTGAAACCCCAGTCTCTACTAAAAATACAAAAAAAAAATTGGCCGGGCGTGGTGGCGGGCGCCTGTGGTCCCAGCTACTTGGGAGGCTGAGGCAGGAGAATGGCGTGAACCCGGGAGGCGGAGCTTGCAGTGAGCTGAGTTCGCGCCACTGCACTCCAGCCTGGGCGACAGAGCGAGACTCTGTCTCAAAAAATAAAAATAAAAAAAGAGCTAGCAAAATTTTCTAAATTAAATCCTAAATCTTTTCTTAATTGTATCACATCTTCACATACACACAAATCTACTATTTCTATCTCAATTCAGTTAGCTTTATATTCCTGAATTGGTTTGACTCAGATAGAAAAGTTCCCACAACAACTCATTTTGAGACCATTTCAAGGTCTGCCTATTTAATGTAGTTTAAATCCTATGTCAAAGTCAGGGCCTTGGGTTTATATAATTTATACTGATAAATCATAATGATAATCATAATAATATCTCAACAGAAATGTCTGTCATTTCAGGTAAGATAAATAATCTTGACTAAATTAAAACAAATGTTGAGGTAATTATTACTATGTACATTTGAAAGCAACCATAAGCTTCACAAAATGAATCAAATTCACAATCGCTACTCTCACAAAGTTTATGTATTAAGGACTATTGCAAAAGTCATCCATTAGTCTTTTCTTACACAAATAGGAAGTGAAACCAATGATTTACCCTTTGTTTACAAAGATGTGACTATTTTTAAATTGTTATTTACATTTAAATTGAGCATTTATTTAGCACTTGTCTTAAAACAGTAATTTTTGGATGATATATAAAAGAGTATTTATTAAAGACTTCTATCTAAAAAAAAGGATTTATACCAATCCATGCACATATTAGCTTACTTCTACAACCTCACCTTTCACAGGTACACATACTTGAACCTCCAAACTTACTCCATTCATACTGAACTATGTGAACTATATGCAAACCCATGAACGGGTCATATACTTTTTTTTTAATGCTAAACTTTTTAATAAGCTGTTTCTCTTCTTATAAAACCCTTAATACTTGTAACTGGCTAATTCCTACTCACCTTTTCAGTGCTCTCTTAGCCATCATGTCCTGTAGGAAGTCTTCCCTGACTTGGGTTAAGTGCCCCTTCTTGTGACTCTATACCTCTCTGGTATATAGAGAGAGGAATTATCACTCAACAGCAATTATTATAAGATATTGAAAATGTCCAGTGCCCAGCCTGTCTCTCCCACTATACCATACATTCTCAAAGAAAAGGAGTATCTGGTGGTTACTTTTTTATTTCTAGCATCTAGACAAATAACAAGTATTGACTAAATAAAGTATATTTCAGAATACAAGTTGGGTATTCCTTGTCCAAAGTGTTTCGTATTTCAGATTTTTTCAGATTTTAGAATATTTGCATACACATAATGAAATATTCTTACAATAGAACCCAAGTCTAAACACAAAATTTATGTTTCACATATACCTTATATACGTAGCCTTAAGGTAATTTTGTACAATATTTTATAATAATTTTGTGCACCTCTCAAGTGAAGTTAGGTGTGAAATTTTCCACTTCTGGCATCATGGCAGTGCTCAAAAAGTTTTGGACTTTGGAATATTTTACTTCAGATTTTCAGATTATGGATGTTCAACTGGTATAAGGCAAACTGTTTAGTCAATGTTATTTCTCAGAAGAAAGACTCTCATATTATGGGCCACACTTCCAATTACTTTCTTATAAACAACAAAGTAGTATTTAGGAAAGATTTATTAGCAAGGAATTACCTCAGTTGGTACTGGTTTGTCATGGCTTTAGAGGTCAATCTGCTAGAATAGTTAAAAATAGAGGCAAAATAAAATGTAATACAAGTTTAGTTTTTATTTCTGGAATTTTTTTCACAATTGCAAATGTTAGCTGCTGATTTAAATATGCCTTTCAAACATCATATAAAACAGCCAAAAGATTATATCATTACATAGTACAGATCGTAAATATATGCTTAAGGAACAAGTGTTGAAAAAAATTCCCCTAGTGTTATGGAAATGGTATTTGTGTCTTCTGATGAAATTTTAAGTGACAGTATCAAAGATGAATTTAAAACATGTTATAACTAAAATAACTTAGGTAAAACCAAAAATGATGTGGTTCGGAAAACATTGAAAAGGTACGAATTTTATAAATGTATGTGACGAATATGAATAAAACGTTCATAAAGTTAGGATTGAAAATTAACATTAGTAAATTAAAATATTATTTTATATGACTTTAGTTATAATTATGTATATGCTATGAAATTATAAGTAAATATTTGTCTCTCATATCTAAAGCTCCCTTCAAAAGAGTTTTTTTATGATAAAATATAAAATTCATTAGCTTAGAGTTATTTGGGGGCATGTATGACATTTGATAAATACATGATTAAGTGAATGAATTAAGCTCTCTTCATCTTAGAAATCAAAACTAGAATTATATTATCAAACACCTTTATGTTTGTTTATATAAAAATAATTTTAATACATTTTATAAATTATGATACTTTAAAGAATGTATGCATTCCTAGGGGTCCTCTGAATCTCTCAATGATTTATTAACTTTTATTTCACTTTCTATAATCCCTACCATAAATATTCAGTCACATACCATCTCACGCATACAGGCATAACTGGCATGTAAACTTAGGTAACTTTTCACCGAAACTTTTATGTGCAGATGACAGTTCTGATTAAAGGCTATGATCAATATGTCCTCTGATATGGACATATGGTTAAAATATCACTGTGTAGTTTTCCCTACAGAAAAGGGTAATAATAAAAGGATGGTAATAAGATGAAAGGTACTCTACAACTCTATTAGAAACAATAGAAAAACAAAGTCAATCCAAAATCATAGGAGGACAAAATTACAAACTATTGTTTTTAAAATAATGATCTATCATTTTTTAGCACAATCTTCAATTTCAGGTATAAGCTTCAATTCCTATACTCAGAAATTCCAAAACGCTGTTATTTAAATTATTAATGATTTAACGGAAATTTTATAATACTAAAACTTAAAGCTTAAGGTATCTTGGCTAAATTTTTTTGCTAGGTACATTCATTCAATAATTCATTCAGACATTTAGGTAATAATTAAATGACTATTAAAGTCCTACTATATTTTGGGTAGTATGTTAGTTCCTATGGTGACAATGAGAAGAAAAAAGCAGACACAATTCCGTTTTCATATTACTAATGCCTTGTGGGAACCAGACATTAATCAATAATCATAAAATTATTATATAACTATAAATAGATTTTGGAGAGAAAAATGAGATTCCATGATAGCATCTGAGGAAAAAAAATTGACATGCTTAAGAAGATTTCACTGAGAAAGTGATGTTTAAGCTGATATGATAGATGGGTAGGAGTTTAGAGACTAGCAAATTAAAGCTAATAGGGACCAGGATTAATATTAAGAGGTTCTTTTTTAAATGAATACATAGGTATTCATAGGTAGTAAGAGCTGTTGATTAGTAAATTGTTGGGACAGGAATTAACGTTGTTACAGTAATACCTTCAAAATAGTTTGTTTTCCTAAATTGGCGAGAAATCATTCTAGAAATGCTGGCCATAGGATCTTTGTGTTTGACAAACCCGTGTTTTGTAAGACAAATTTCAGCAAGTTCTTTTTCCAATTATCATAAATTTAGAATTATATTTTCTGTCTTCATCCAGTTTCACACTGCTCTAAAGAACTACCTCTGATTGGGTAGTTTATGAAGAAAAGAGGATTAATTGACTTAATAGTTCCACAGGCTGTACAGGAAGCATGCCTGGGGGGCCTCAGAAAACTTAAAGGTGAAGGGGAAGCAAGCATGGCTTACTATGGAGGAGCAGGAGAGAGAAAATGAAGAGGGAAGTGCTACACACTTTTAACCAACCAGATCTCGGTGAGAACTCACTCACTATCATGAGAACAGCAAGCGGGAAATTTGCACCCATGATCTGATCACCTCCCATCAAGTCCCTCCCCCAACATTGGGGATTAAAATACAACATGAGATTTGGGTGGGGACACAGAGCCCAACCATATCAGTGAAATCCTAATTGATGAGACTTTAGCCACAATTTAATGATATAATAAAACTTTCTAAAGATAAAAGTGTGGTTAGGCATGGTGGCTCATGCCTGTAATCCCAGCACTTTAGGAGGTGGAGGCGGGCAGATCACAAGGTCAGGAGATCCAGACAATCCTGGACAACATGGTGAAACCCTGTCTCTACTAAAAATACAAAAATTAGCTGGGCATGGTGGTGCATGCCTGTAATCCCAGCTACTCGGGAGGCTGAGGCAGGAGAATCGCTAGAACCAGGTAGTTGGAGGTTGCAGTGAGCCAAAATTGCACCGGTGCACTCCAACCTAGGTAATGGAGTGAGACGCTTTCTCATGGAAAAAAAAAAAGTGACTAGACCACAGTACTATCTTGTATACTAAAGAAATACAGAGTTAAAGAGATGAGATTATAATTATATTGCACTAATAAATGGAAATTCGTCATCTTTCCTCCTGCAAAGTTTAACTAAAAGACAAATATCTTGTTCAGGAAGAAGCTTGTCAAGTTTTCATTCCTATCACTGATTATCCTACAAACACACACACAGACACAAAAGTGAGCTAATTTAAGAAATCATAAATTTAAATTACTGAGAGTTTTGTTATAATGTTTGAGGTATATCTAATTTTCACTATAAACTGTAAATGCTATTATAGGAGACTCAGAAAATGCAAAAAGCTAGAAATTTCAGAAGATAAAATTATTCAGAATCCCATCACTGCAAAATGAGCACTGTAAAAATTTTCATGTTTGAATTGTTTTTAGTAATAATAATTTTCATTCTTTAATTGAATTTTTAATTAATTTCAAAAAACGTTTATAGCTAATCAAACTCTCTGGTCATTCAGTTTTTTGTACTCTTCAGTAAAGTCCACAGTAAAGGCTAATCTGAATGCTGACATCACTGCCTATAACTCTCTCTGTTGTGGTTTAGCCATTTTAGCTCCCCTTTCAAGAACAGTAATTCCCCCTGAACTAAATATTGTTAACCACAGATAAAGAAGTACAAAACAAAGCCTATGTTGTTTTCCTGTGAATCCAAATGAGAAATAACGACTTTAAAGCATTTGATCTATCCCTTTAAAAGATGTAACACATTGGAGACTATAAATCTTCTCCCTATAAATCCAACAGAGCTTTTCTTATCCTTCATCGTTGGAACAGTTTCTTGTTTGTTTGTTTTGCTTTGTTTTGTTTTTATTTCAGTTCAGAACCATATAAAGTAACTGAATTGGTTTTAGGTCAAAGCTATGTATTTTTTGGTGTCATCAAATATTAGAATCACTCAGAATGGCAAGATGCTCACATCCTGAGAAGTAAACAGGGATGGAAGCCAACCATAACTCCAATCTCACTCAGGGTGGTGAGTTCACTAATCAGCAAGAGCTTATTTAAGTGGAATAGTGAGAGTACTTGCTCAATAATTTGATAAAAATTTCTTTTTTAAATGAATGCATATGGTTAAATTTGTGTAAATTAAGTATGTGTATATTAACTCACATTTATTGATGAGATTCTACTGTATTTCATCCCAACTTTCATTAGAATACATATTCTTTCTATAATTTAAGAATTTCCATATTGAAACCTGCAAATAATTTGTTCTCTGCTTATATTATCCGAATGCCCTATAAACCTGTCTGATACTTAAATTCTGAATGAAACTTCTAGGAGATGTAAGATGATAATATCCAGAAAAATAAAGAGGAAAAAGGATGAAAACAACAGAATGTGTCGGTATAAGGACATGTTACAAAGTTTTTACTGGGTTTAGTCTGTGGTTGGTTTATCATTATATTGCAAAAAACTCTCCCATAAACTACTAATGATTGTAATTCCTATTAAATTGGGCTTTCATATTAAATTGTTTAAATTAGTTCTTTACTCTGTAAGCATAATCATAATCCATTGTCCCCCATTAGTCAATTTCTGCTTTGTAAAATTAAATATTCTGAATTTTAACATGTGAGGCATTGAAATATACAATGCTTTTCACATACCCAAGACAGAAAGCCTATGACTAAACTTATGAAGAAACAAACTATAGAGAAATAGCTGTGAAAAAATACTTCTTATTGTGATAAAAATATCAAATGATCTGTTTACAGGGAGCAATAAAAGGCACCATTTCAACTTTCAACATAGGTTGTTCCTTTTCATTTGTATTTCCAGGAAAGCGCTGAAATAACCAATAGTCATCCAGTTTAATTATTCTTTAAACTTTTTTAATTTAAGCTCAACTATTTGAATCATAGCAAGTTTGTAAGTTTCACAACCAACGTCTTAATATTAAAAATGAAGAACTTAGGCTTAGAGAGATTGTATGAATTATCTCACATTTTTGCACTTACTCAGTAGCAGCATTAGAACCCAAACTCAAATCTTTTCCCCGTCAAGTATTCCATTAGAACACTACAGCATGTTCTATTTTGAGTCTCTCTAGGCTAAGACTACATAGTTCAAGTGAAAATTAATAATGCATAATTAATTATTTGCCAAACAGGAGGAATATTTAAGGTTAACCTTTATCATGCAAGCAACAATTACTTAGATAATACAAAATCAACTGATTTGACACTTTGATTATTATAAATCACAAAACAAATAAAAAACTAGGAATGGCTCCCAGGTTGGCCCATAGAGGGATTATTAAGATCCCTACATGTATTCATAAAAGTAATGCAATAATTTTGATTTTTCTTAGCTCTTTATGCTTTTCACACTCAATATTTTACTCTTATAGTGACTTACAGGCATCAGGAAAATGCAGAAATTAATTATAAGAAGTGTTAGGACTTGCCTCAATTCTCCTGCTAATCCATGTAGAAGGTCTTCAACCTCAGGTCTGAGTTCTTATAGAAATCAAAACTTTTATAGGAGTCCATGCTTTCCTGACAACAGACAAACATTCCAGGGGTTCCTTGAGACAAAGCCATGTACACAATGCAGGTCCCAGTTTCTTGGACTTCTTTCTATTATCACTAATATATATAGCCATAGAGTAATTTTAACTTACAAACTTTTGCTCCCTCCAACTTACAATCTTTTGCTCCCTCCTGGTAATCTCTCTCTCTCTCTCTCTCTCTCTCTCTCTCTCTCTCACTGTCCACTAGCCTTGGAAGAAACCAACTGTCATGTCATAAGGACACTCAAGCAGCCCTACAGACAGGACTTTGTGGTCAGAAACTGAGACTTCCTACCAAGAACCATAGGATTAATCCATTTTGGAAACAGATTATTCTTTAGATGACCACTGACCTGGTCAATATCTTCACTGCAACCTACAAGAGGCTCTGAACTAGAAGCACCCAGTAAAGCAGGTCCCAAATTCCTGACCCACAGAAATAGTGAGATAAATGTTTGTTGTTTTAAGCTGCTAAGTCTGTGGTAATTTGTTATATGACAATAGATAGCAAACACCCACTATGAGAAATCCAGGTTAACTACTGAATCTGTTTCTTCACCGTTACAATGAGATAATAGAGATATAAATATCTAACATATCGCATTGTTGTAAAGATAAAGAATATAAAAAACACTGTCCCTAGAAGACAGTAAAAGCTCAATGAATGTCATTTTTTATTTTTCTATTAATATTATAACTATCATTATCAATCTCAGAAGTTTGCCATGTTTCATAATCTTTTGCTGGCTCATGTTTACTTCATTAGCTGAGCAAGTGAAATTCATACACTAAAATAAATACAGATAATTGAAATTAATTATAGAGAACAGTACAATAAACGTATTATAAGAAAACACTAAGAATATTTTCATAGCTTTGGGGTAGAAAAATGTTCCTTGGCATAATCCAAGGTAAAGACCCTCAAAAAGTTGAGAGATATGACTACATAAAAATTGAAAACATCTTTAGAGTAAATAATTCCATATAAAAGTTAGAAGTCAAATGCCAAAAGGGTGAAAATATTTTATATATGTCAAAAAGTGAGTATCTTTAAAATACAGTCTTACAAAATAATGAGAGATACATATAAGCATGTATGGGAGTGTGTAAAACATTTTTTACAGCAGAATAAAACAAAAACATGCAAGTAAGTGAATGGAAATTTCACAGTAGTTCAAATGACTAGTAAACATATAAAGAGATGCTCAAAAAATAAAGGAAATACAAAATGAAAAAGTCATGGGTATCACTTTTTACCTTGGCTTAGACTGAAAATGTTTATTATCGATGAGAGGGTAGAGAAACTAGCACAACCCTGTGAGAGGTAAAGAATTCTTGAAGAGTATTCTGGCAATATGTATCATAACCTTATATGTGCTCCCTCATGCCCCTGCAACCTGGCAATGATTTTATCCTAAAGAAATAATCATAAAAGTCACACATGATTTGCAAAGAGTCATGGACACTGATACACATAAATACTTGAAAAACAAGCATCTTTCATATTTTTGCATTTTAACAAGTTAGCTTATAGAATAATATGTATTATATGTTGCCATTTTTGTATTTTAAAAAGTGTCTTCTCTTCAAAAGTTATTTTAAAAATACCGAACTATACTAATGATTGCGTGAGGGTATGTGGATAGCATCAGGAGGATCTTCTGTTTATATCCAGAAAATAATAAACCATAAAGCTACCTAGTTGTTTAATAGTCAAATCTTACCATCTCAATTTTATGGTACACCATTTATGTAAGTGGTTATCCATATTTCATTATAGGGTGTTTGGGCTTAATATGAGAAAAGGAAGAGCAAAGAAGTAGAATAAGGAATAATGTACTCTCTTTATTTAACCAGAAAATATGGATTGAGATGTAGCTACTTAACAATAACAGGTTTGTGTCTAATGAGAGCCTCAAGGAGTTGGAGTCATTCTGTTGTAGCACATATCTATTCCAGAATATATGTGCTTGTATAAATTCTGTTGAGAATAAAAATAATCTACATACTCTAATTACTTAAACATAATTTTCAAAATTATTATAGAGTCAAAACAGTTAACCCCTTTTCATTATCCTTCTGTCTTCTCTAACACCTCTGGTGGATGAGCTGCTATTGCAACTGTCATTGCAATTATTGATTGCAATTTTTGTCATTGCATTTATTGATATAAGAAAGTTTAAATCCATTAACTTTAACTTCGTATTTCTTTTCTGTCCCATGTGTTCTTTATTTTTTTTTCTCTTTGTCTGCCTTTTTTTGAAATAGTTGAGTATTCAATGTTCCATTTTATCTCTATTTTGGCCTTACTGTTATATCTCTTTATTTTGTAATGATTATTGTAGGGTTTACAATATGTAACTTTTAACTTATCAAGGCTACCTTGAAATAATAATATACCACTTCATATATAATATCAAACCATTTCAACAACACACTTCTATTTCCCTGCTCCAATTATTTATGTAATTTATGTCAAACATCTTACTACTATATAACCCACAATACATTGTTAATTATTTTGCTGCAAAGTGTTACCTTTTAAATAAAATTTTAAAAGAAAAAAGTGTGTTATATTTACTCATATATTTACCATTTCTGGTACTCCTCTTTACTTTGTGTTATTACAAATTTCCATCTTATTTGGTATCATTTTCCTTCTTCCTGAAGAACCTCCATTAACACATCTTGTAGTGCTTGTCTGTGGGTGATGATTTCTCTTTCAGCTTTTATGTCCCCAAAAGTCTTTATTTTATAGAATTCTAGGTTGACTCTTTTTATCTTTCAGCATTTTAAAGATGTCTATATTAGTCCGTTCTCATGCTGCTAATAAAGATATACTCAAGACTGGGTAATTTATAAAAGAAAAAATTTAATTGACTCACAGTTCAGCACAGCTGGGGTGGCCTCAGGAAACTTACAATCATGATGGAAGAGGAGGCAAACACATCCTTCTTCACATGGCAGCAGCAAGAAGTGCTGAGCAAAAGGGGGAAAAGCCCCTTATAAAACCATCAGATCTTGTGAGAACTCACTCATTATCATGAGAACAGCATGAGGTAACCACTCCCGTGATTAAATTACCTCCCACCGGGTCCCTCCCACAACACGGGGATTATGGGAACTACAATTCCCGATGAGATTTGGGTGGGGACATAGCCAAACATATCAATGAAATTCTAAGTCTTCTAGTTTATATTGTTTCTGACAAGAAGTATTTAATATTTGTGTCTTCCTCCTGTACATAATGCCTCCATTTCCTGTCTCTTTCTGGGATTTTCTTGTTATCAATTGTTTTCAACAATTTTAGTATCATGTGTCTTGATGCCATTTCCTTCATTTTTCTCCTCTTACTTATAGTTGAAATCTCTAGATCTTTGTAAATACAGTTTTAGTCAAATTTGAAATATTTTCAGTGGCCAGGCATGGTGGGTCATGCCTCTAATCACAGCACTTTGGGAGGCTGAGGCAGGCAGATCACTTGAGGTCAGGAGTTTGAGACCAGCCTGGCCAACATGGCAAAACCCTGTCTCTACTAGAAATACAAAAATTAGCCGGGCAAGGTGGGGGTTGCTTGTAGTCCCAGCTACTCAGGAGGTTGAGGCAGGAGAATCACTTGAACCCAGGAGGCAGAGGTTGCAGTAAGCCACGATGTGCCACTGCACTCCAGCCTGGGCAACAGAGCAAGACTCCATATATATATATTTCAGCCTTTGATTGTCCAAGTAATTTTTCTTCCTTCCTTCCCCACCTCCTTTTTAGGACTAACATACAGGTTAAACTGCTTCATAGTGTCCCATAAATCTCTGAGGTTATATTTGTGTGTCTGTTTCAATCTTTTTTCTCAGATTGTGTGTGTGCTTCAGATTGGATAGTTTCTATTGCTATGTCTTCACATTCACTAATCCTTTTTCTGTAGTATCTAATATCCTGTTATACCATACCAATGTAGTAAATTTTTTCATTCCAAATATATTTTTCATCTCTAAAAGTTCCATTTAGTTCCCTTTTATGCCACTCATTTCTCTCCTGATCATAGTCAAGCTTTCCTTTAAATCCTTGATCACATTTATAATAATGGTTACAAAATATTTTTCTTCTAATTCCGTCATCTCTGCCATTTCTGAACGTTTTTTCATTGGTAATTTTTTTCCCAGTTACATGTCACATTTTCCAGCTTTTTCATGTAACATAAATTTTATTTTGATGTCATTCATCATAAACTTTTTGTTGTTGACTGCTGAATTTTGTTGAACTTCACAAAGTATTAGACATTTTTCTGGCAGGCTGGTTAATAGCTTGCAGATCAGTTTGGTCCTTTTGAGTCTTATTCTTAAGCTCTATTAGGGCAGGCTTGTTAGGCCCTACTGAAAAAGAATTATCCTTTTTGGGATCTCATTTCCCTGGCTATTAACAAAGTGTCTCCACTTTGGCTGAACAAAACTCAAACACTTCCAATCCGCGAAAGCTCCAGGAGTGGTTCACCTTTTCAGCTCTCTGGTTGTTCTTTGCCGGCCTTCTGGAGGTTTACCCAAAGTATGCACAGTTTAATATTCAGCATTCAATAGGCTCAAGGCAATCCTTTTGCAGATTTCCAAAGTTCCTTGTCTGCATATCTCCCTTCCTCCGGTATTCTACCTGCAAATTCTACTGCCTCATCTCCCTGAATTTCAATTTCTATCTCCTAATCTCAGTGTGATCACTGTGCTCTGTTTAGGTTTCCCTTCTGTACATTATGATCAGGAAAGTACATCCAAGCATAAAATTTTTTCTATGCAACAGAAGAAGATATTATTTTTAAGTGTATACCTCTCCCTATTATGTCATACAAATTTCAGGGCTTATTTTCAAGAACCATGTCTTTTATATGGTATCTGGTTATGTTGTTACTATTTTGAAATAAAATACAGGAATTGAATTTATTCAGTGTTTCATCTTTGAATAACCTGAAAATTGTATAGTAATTCCTTATCTTCTCACCCAAACCACTGATATATAAAATACTATTTAAGACGACAAGATCAAACAAGGTCACTTACTATCTTCCTTTGGGCATACCTATATTTTAGCCATGCTTAACTTTGTATCATTACTCAAACAACCTCTTTTAACACCCATCTTCTTGATTCTATTTTTAAGAGAATGAGATCTATGGTAAACTGTCTAAGTTCAAATCCTGACCCAACTAGTTTATAAAGCAAGTTATACTTAAAGCATCTTTGACTTCATATTATCATGTCCATGTAGAAATAATAATATAGTCTACCTCAAAATGATTATGAAGAATAAAAGAAACAATATACAGTCAATGAATGTGAGCTAATGTTATCACTTGCAAACCTTTTCCCTATTTCTTTATATGCAAACCCTATCCGTAATTCCATTTCAGTTAAAATGCCATCTCTACAGGAAGGCTTTCCCGGGATCCATGCTGAGAGGATTCTTTCTTAAGATACTCATCACAGGGCATTTATGTGATTTATATTTTTCTTCTTAGCTTCTATACTAAGCAATTAAGTTCTTGAAAGGAGCTTCCATGTTTTACTCTCTCTTTTTTCAAAAAGATATCCCACAGTGGACAGTAAATTGCTTTGTATTTAGTAGGCTATTCACAAATACTTGCCTCAGAAAAGAAAATTAAACATGACTATATGGGGGAAGTTTTTCAAATAACTTATGAATCTCCCTAAATCTACTGCCATCATTTTATCAAATCCCTTGTTTACACCAAGATACATATGTTTGCAAAATTTTCTTAGCTAACAACCCAGTTAACTTTATCAGAAAAGGAGAAATGAGATTAGTATGACATGACTTGTTCTTGGTAAAATAACACCTTGGTTTCTACATGGTCACAAATAATCTATTCAATATTTCAGAATTTTGCAGGAGATAAAGTTAACTCTGTAGGTTAGAGAATTCACCTTTATTTCATCTTTAATATTTTATATGTTTGCTTGTATCCATTATTTTATATCTTCCGATTCTCCAAATATGATCATTTCTGGAAGTTATGATGTTCAGTCAAAGAAAGTTTAGACTTTGGAGCAAAAGTCCTTAGGTTTGGATTCCAGTTGTTCTGATAGACAGCAGTGTGGCTTGAAAAAGATATATTTACTTTCAGTTAACACATCTATAAATGGAGATAATAAAATTTTCTTGGAGCATGGTGATTATTAAATGAGAATAAGTGAAAAGGTATGACCTACTGCCTACTGCTAAAAACTTTTTATTTGCTTCCTTTTGGTTTCCTCACCTGCAAAATGCAAATAGTCATCCCTGTTTACTTTTCAGGATTCCCTTAAGGATTCAGTGAATACATACATTGTGATACTTTGAAAAACACACATTATATAAATATGCAAGTTTTTAAAAAAATTATGGTCATTATTATTCTTGAATAAAAGTTACCAAACTCTGTGGACTTAGATTGTAAATTTGCCAAAATAGTCTCCTATTAACCAATTTATTGATTTCCATTCATTTCTTCTAATTTGAAGATTATTCTTCTTGGAAAGAAAAATATAGGCAAAATATTTGTTCATCATCTCTGCCTTCTCTGTGTCATCTCTGAAAATTATGTCATATTCTCCCAAGTAATGCCTCTATCTATTCAGTCTGAGGTGACTTTTCAAATCTCTTCTAAAAGTTTACGATTTTACAAGAGTAAATTAGAGTGTTCTTGTACACACACACAAGAGACCAAAAAAAATCAGAACACATTTTCACAAACAGCTGAAACTATTTAATATGGGTATCCTTAAAAACAATAAAATATTATGAACAGTAAAAGTCAATTATTTATTTTATGACAGAAATATTTCAGTGTGATTATATCTGAGTATATCTTCAATTTTTTTTGTTCAGGCAGCAAGCATTGGTCCTTTTTACCAACCACTACAAATTATGCACCCTAAACATTATGCACTCTATGCTATAAAATGACAATATAAAAATATAATCCAATCTACATTAATTGAACATAAAGTACATTCTGATACTCAGCTTAGACTAACCATAACACAGAATTTGTCATTAAACGTTCAGTTCACACACATACACTCAAAACTGATCCAACAACTCCTATTATGCCAGTTACCAGCATTGCCAGCCCCTTTGCCCTTCACTGCCTGGAGAACGTCCATCAGAAACAGGGAAGCAGAGCAAACTGCCACAATGCACCATTGATGTTTGAGCAAGGCTGCCTAAGCAGCTGCAATAACAGGGCAACTCTTCAAAGTGTCAGCATTGAAACTTACAATTCTCTCTCCCATACACTATCAATGAAAACCTTTATAAGCTACAATCAATTATAAAATAAATCTTTGAGACAAATCATGTTCTTTCTTCATTTCTTCTCTCCTTCTTTTCCTCCCAAAACCAAATGTCCTTGGTTAAAAGAAAAATTCAAGGAGAAATATCCCCCCTTTCTATCTTGGTCTCTGCCTCTGCCTCTCTTATGTCTAAAAATTCTCTCAAGGAGGTTTAAGGATATCTGCTAAACACTTTTGTTTACAAGACAAGTTCTGGGGTTTTTTGTTTGTTTGCTGTTGGGTTTTTATTGTTGGAATGTTTTTATTTTAAAAATTCAAAAGGCACTTGATATTTTGAGCACACTCATACTAGATTTTTGGCAAAGCATGTTTTTGATTATTAAAAGACAATCTAAATTCTGAAATGCATGCACCAAATCACATAACCTCCATATTTTTGTAAACCACAACAAAAGTGCCTCATATTAGCTACAGATGAATAGCTAATGAGTCAGCAAACAGTTAAAAACATTCCATGAGAATAGATGCACTAGCCATGCAAAGTTTTTGAGGGAAAAATATATTAAGTATTTAAAAACTACTTAGAATGAAGGGAAACTATTCTTTCTTTAACAAAGCAACTATGTTTAATTTGTCTTATGATTATACCTACCAAACCAAATGAAAGTTTATCTGTCTTTTTCTATTTCTCCTTAGCCATCAATAGTTAATGCCTTTTTAAATTTTGTAACATATATTTAAGGTCTCAGAATTGTAGCAACAACTTTTAGATTCTTCATCATTGTTTTTATCATTCAAACAGCATGCGAAAACCCCTTCAAATATAATGTCAAGGTATAACTCTAATTCCTGCAGATAACAAAAATATATACACTTCATCATGAGTTAATCTACTACCTGAACAATCAAAGTCCAAAATACTTGGTATCTGAGTTCAGGGTGCAATAATAATAAATTGCCATAGACTTGGTTAAACAACAGAATTTAACAACAAAAATGTATTTCTCACAGTTCTGAGGGCTGAGAAGTCTGAGATTAGAATGCCAGCATGACCAGGTTTTGATGAATGCCTTTGTCCTGGTTTGCATATAGTAGTCTTCTCACTGCGTCCTCACATGATGGAGGGCCAAGAGACAGAGTGGAAGCAAGCTTCTATAAGGGCACTATTCCCATCTTGAGGGCCCCACCTTCATGGCCTAATTACCTACCAAAGGCCCCATGTACAAATGCCATCACATTAAAGATTAGGTTTTCAATATATGAATTTTGAGGTGACACAAACATTCAGCTCATAGCATTTAGAAATCTGTAAGAATTTTTAGTTATCATTTCTCATTATTGTCAAAGCAACACACACACACACACACACACACACACACAAACACACACACACAGTTTACCAGTTAAATAGTACCACAAAGTTTATACAAAATACAGCATCCCGTATCCAAAACTTTGACCCTCTGCCAAAACTCATTCTAGTGTTTGCCTGATTTCTAAATAATATGCTTCTATTGTTATTTTTATTTATAAATTTTAGACATAATATATTAACTTCCTATCATGGCAGAAGACTTAGTTCTTTGATACTACCTCATTTCCCTTTCTTCCATCCTTCCAGTAATCAGTGAAGTAATATTTTTGAATACATTTGGTACCTTGAGTAGTAACAATATTTCCTTCCTATTGTTAATATTGTCACTTTGCCCCCCACATTCCCAAGGTTTGCAACAGAAATGTAAAACCTCTATAAATATAATATTTCACACTCTTACACATGAAGAATCCTATTCTAATTCTTTCCCCTGAAGACATCCCTTTCGGGAGTTCTCCATCTTCTAGCTCAAGTAAAGACTGCTTATTTTTAAGATCAATGCACAGAAGTTATCCAGTAACTTCCCTTCACCTTTCTCACCTCATTTTAATCACCTGTTTCCTGAACCCTCTATCTTGGTCTTTTCTCCTCAGTTTTTCCTCACTTGGACGTAGCATACCCTTGAAACAATTCCGGAGAAAGCAAGTGTGGGGGTACATTTGGAGAACCATGTGTCTAAAAATAAAAATGTTTTTTCTACCCTTATACGTAATTGGTAGTTTGGGTGTAGAATTCAAAGTTAAAAGTAATTTTCTCTCATAATTCTTTTTTTTTTTTTTTTTTTTTTTTTGAGACGGAATTTCGCTCTCGTTTCCCAGGCTGGAGTGCAATGGCAAAATCTTGGCTCACTGCAACCTCCGCCTCCCGGGTTCAAGTGATTCTCCTGCCTCAGCCTCCCAAGTAGCTAGGATTACAGGCATGTGCCAACACACCCAGCTAGTTTTAAATTTTTTAGAGATGAGGTTTCACCATGTTGGTCAGGCTGGTCTCGAGCTCCTGACCTCAGGTGATCCACCTGCCTCAGCCTCCCAAAGTGTTGGGATTACTTACAGGCGTGAGCCACCGTGCCCGGCCTTCTCTCTGAATTTTAAAGCCACATCTTCTAGCTTTGAATGTTGTCATTAAGAAATCAGATACCATTCTGGTTCTTGAGCCAATGTATGAGGCCTATATTTCTCTCGGGAACTTTCTATTATCATCTATTTATTACTGTTATTTTGAAATTTTCCAATTATGCATCTTGGTGTGGAATTGCTTTCACATTTTTATGGGCACTCAGAAGATCCTTCCAAACTGGAACCTTTGGGGCTGAAAAATTTTACCATATACTTTTATAACAGTTTCCTCCCTATCATTTTCTTTGCTCTCGCCTGCCTTCTGAACTTCCCATTAATCAGATGTTCAGCTTGTTGGATCGTTTGTTTGATTTTTATCTCTTCTCTCCTATTTTCCATTTATTTGACTTTTTTTTGCTCTATTTTCAGGAAAATTTCTATCATATAAAAGCTTATTTCAGTTATTATAAAAGTGCTTATTCTCTGGTTATTTCTTCTTTTTATATAATCTTGTCATGTTTCATAGTAGCAGTATCTTCTGCTATCTCTCTGAGTATATTAATTATACTTTATTTCTACTTCAGCTACTGTTTTCTACAGGACATACTGCCTCTAATTCTTAAACAGGTTCTGGAGTATGAACTGTCTTGTTTCTCATTGACACAACACTCTCCAGTCACATGTATTCGGCTTTCCCATTTCTGCCAGTTCCTCCTTTACATCTTCCAAAAGTTGTGTCTCTTTAATATGTTGCTTCCTCTTCCTTATGCCTGTGGATTTATATATTTTTTAGTCTTTTGCTCAAAATTTTTAGTCCCTTACTAGGAAGGAACATGGAAAAACATGTGTTCAATCACGAAGTTTAACTGGAAGTCTGCTGTTAAATTTCCTGAAGATGTTAATCCTAGAGCTATAATCATGCTATTCACAGGGTCATAAAATCATAGGGCTCTTACTATAAAAAGGTTATCAGAGATCATCCGATTCAACCCTCTTATTTTATAAAAGTGAGAAAATGGAAACCCAAAGAGGTTAAGTGGTTTGTGCAAGGTTATTTAAATAGCAATCCATACATTTGGTATTTGACTTGCTTTCATTACCATAGTGCCTCCTCAAATAGATATCCCCTTAAAGTAGTGACTCAGAAGACTCCCAGACACATCCTAGGGTTAACACATTTGAATAAGCCAATCTAGCTTTTGGATATAAAATGGAGGAGAGCTGTCATTAAAGAAAATCTGGGAAAAAATGTCTCCAAGAATAAATATTTGACTCTGGACATCCTGTTTTCTACTAGTAGAAATTCCCTAATCAATACTCTCCCATGAAACTCATTCCCCTTATTCAGCTTCAGCATAACACACTTATCCTAACTTTTACTCTTTCAGGTTACAGAATCACATCATATTTTCTCAAAGCAAGGTAAATCTGTGTTTGAAATTCAAATGAATCTTTTATATCTTTCCTAAGTTTCTACCCTCAATTCCTTCCTGACCTCTGGCTGGCCACCAACCTCCTACTCCTAAAATAGTCCTTTTTTTTTTCTGCAAATGGCACCACCCAGGTACTCGAGAAAAACATCTTGAGAGTCATCCTAAACTTCTCTTTTTCTTTAACAGCATCCAACTTCCACCCCTTCACCGATACAGTACCCAAATCTTATCAATTCTACTTCCTAAAAATCCCTTGAATCCATTCCTCTTAGGTTCCTCATAGCTTCACAGTCACTGTTTCAGTTCATGCCCTCACTATACTTCACCCTGATTTCCATTAATTGTCTTCTAACAGTCTCACAGACTCTGGTCTGCTTTCTTCATACCCCTTCTTCCACACTCAATTGCTGAAGTGCTTTTTCTCAATAGAACTAAGAAGTCATTTCCTCACTTAAAACCCTTCAGAGGATCCCACCTCATTTCTGACTTCTTAGTATAGCATATATAAGGCACTTCATGATAGGCACCTACTTATCCCTCCATCTTCATCTCCTGTGGCTCTTCACCTTGCATGTTATGGAACTAGAAATCAGAAAATCAAAAGTCTCCTCTCGGGTTTCTATTCACACTGGATTTTCAACACCAAATGCCAAATGTCCCTTCCCCTGTCTTCTCCCAAATAAAGGAATCCAACAAAAGAGAGTGAAAAGATTAAAAACCAGTTAAAACCATTTAAAATTATTAAAGTGCTTTTACCATAATATTTTACATTTATATTTATAATATTTTATCTTTATCTTTTAGGGATTATAGTCTGTTTAAATATGTTGGTAGTACATTAAATTATTATTCAGAACACTGAAGATGTAAATTAAATATGACCATAACAATAATAATTAGACTCTTATCATGTGAAATAATTAAGGAATTAACACATTATTATAGTAAGGGCCAAATCTAAGAAATGTACTATACCATACCACCAGACTGCACACTTTTAGTAGACAGGACTGTGTCTTAATCATCTTTACATTCCCTACTATGCCAAATACTATCCCCAACATAATAGATGCACAGTGAATTAGTAAATGATTAAATAAAATTAGAAATAATATCACACCCACAAACCCGGGAAGCAATTATTTGCCTACTACTTGATGAGGCCAATAATTCAATGATATTTATTATTATAGTTGATCGAGTTAGTCAAATGTCATGAGTGCCTCTTAAAAAATTTATATATATACACACATTTTTCTGCAGATCTTTATACGGAACATCAATCTAATCTTTATTTGGGCATATAAATCATTCAATGGATAACACAGTGAAAATTTTCAACATAACAGAAAGACATATGCTATTTGAAAAATCAGTAAAAAAAAAAAAAAAGATGATTCTATTGTTGGTATTCTTATCTTCAGATTGTCCTCCACAGCACATCCCTCTGATACAGAGAAATAAAAACTTTCTTACCTAGAACTCTGATCAAGTTACTGCCTTTTATACCACTATAATGATATTCAAACTGGCTTCTAAGCAAAATAGAACAGAAACATTGCACATGCACATGCACTTGAATTGTACACTTCTTCTATCGTATCAACTTCATGTACCATGATATGCTCGCCATTAATATGCACTAAAGCTAACTTGCTAGCCTGCCGCAATTTTATTGTTGCAGCAAAACAATAGTGGTGGATTAACCCATCACCTCAAGTTTAGCAATACATCCTGGACCAGTTATAGATATGCATTAATCCACAACTTAAAATGTAAAATATCAAGGAGCTGGGCCAATCCAGGCATATGAGTCAAGAACACAGCACTTCAAACATATCCAAACTGAAACTGGTTCTTTTCTCTGCCTAGAAAGGTACTTAACAATGGGTTCTGAATATCATGTTGACTGACAGGTATGTCATATAAAGAAGGAAATCCTCTTAAATCTTACCTCCTTAAAAATATCAGGTTTAACAGAAGAGTATGATGTGTAGATCCCTACTAGATAGAAGCCTGAATACCTAACCCATTATATAAATAGTATGTATTGTATAGTATATAAAGGCTGCGATTTTCTGGGCTGCTGCCTACTTTTTATGTTTTACTGTTGTCTTCATGTAAAATAACTGTATGGAAATGGTATACCTAAAGAGACAAAACGGGTGAAATTTAAATCAACCAACTAAAGAATAAACAGTATAGGTTAAAAAGGATACATGTTAACAAAATGATGACACACAGCAGAATAAAGAAAATATATGAAGAATACACATCTGAGGGCAAAAGGCTGAGGACAGTTGAAATTGATAGAATTTGTAATGACTGAAATAAAAGCACAAGAAAGAGTAGAGAAGAAACTTGAATAATATTCATAGATAGGAATGAACTGTGGAAATTCCAATGCCATGATAAGGCACGATATAGAATGATTGTATTTCTTTTATCCAAAAGCTTCACGACAGGTAAAGATAGACTATAATCTGAAGAACAAATAGACCTAATTTCCATTATAGGCCCCGAAAGTGACCAATAGTGATACTTATAATATTTAAGAAAGCAACTGGGCACTTAACTTTAGATTATACCATTTAAATTTTTTTCAACTTGGGAAAATGTTTCAAATTCCACTTTGCTACCTACTTGCTTTATTTTTTAAAAAATTAGAAAAATGCCATGTAAATCACTGTAGATAGTATTGCATTGCTTGTTTGAAAAAAAAAAAAGTTGACAGTTTGATAGTGCATTCATTCTTATGCCTCCAGCACTGAATCAACCACTATAACATTCAAACCAAGAGGAAACTTTCAGCAGTCTTGATGCTGTCTCCTACTCTGAAGTGTGAGTCTCTTTTCTACAAAGAGCACATGCTTAGGGAGGAAAACAGGATATGAAATTACACAAAAATATGTGCCCCAGCATTCAGAAAGAAAGCAGGTAAAAGCTTAATTCTCCTCCAAAAAAAGCAGTTTCTAAATGTGGATTCATTAATGAAAACTTACAACCTAGCAGTCAGCAGAAGCATTTAGGAATGGAAGGCATACAGTACAATGCCAACTATTAGAATCAGTGTTCTACTACCACACAACTATTCTAGCTTAGCTAACAGTCTTTTTTGTCACGACTTTTGTTTCTTTTTCCTTTGTTTCCTCTGTTTTCAATCGGGAGAGAACTGTGTGAAGCTGAGTGTTCGTTTAAGTCAGAAACACGTTGGCTAGATCTAGGTTCAGTGTGGGTGAGTACTGTGTAAGCATTCCACACACCTCCACTAATATGCCACGAACTCTCCATATCCCAAGCTTTCTGATAGGATTCAGTTGAGACTACACATAGCGCTTTTACTTATGTCACACATGTGATCTCAGGTCTCAGCACGTACTGACATAGGTAGTTACCATCAAACTTGCTCTTCTCATAAATCCTGAGAAAAAAAGGTAGGTTGGAGGTAGAAAATGGACAGAATGTCTCTGCTAACCTAAACAGAACTAGTATGTGTTGCTGCTAAAATATTCCAATAGCTGGCAGCAATGATCCATAACATTATATTTGTAATATAAGTATACATAAACACTACAACAGATGATCTCAGATTGTCATTGATAATGATGATGGCTAACTTTTTTTAGTATGTTACTTGTACCAAGCATTGCTCTATGTACTATACATCTCATTTAATCCTCATATACAAAAAAAAAAAAATATTCTTGGGTAAAGTTATTTTCATTTTCATTTTACACAAAAGGACATTGAGATACAGAAAGAAACTGAATAAATTGATTTTAACATATTTAACTTATTTAAAGTTAAAACATGAAATTATTTACTAACCCTTTGATGTAGGACCAATGGCTGTCACTGACTCTTGATCTGCTATATAAAGTTTCATGTTTTCCTTCTTGCTTAAACTACACCATGATGTATCACCTATGATTTCCTGTTTTGGTTTATTTAAACTCAATGACAGCTTAAAGGTACTTGGAAAGCAAACTGAATGAGGGATCCTTCCAGCTTTTTACATTTTTTCACCCCTACCTCAGGCAATCTTTCACAGTTGTCTAGCCCACACCTTTTTAAACTGCAATTTGTTTTAGCAACTCACCTTTAAAAAGTCTTTCCAAAGCACCAACTTAAATTTCATAAAATCAACAACTCTTTATATTTTTGAACTCATATTTTATCAGTTTGCATAATTAAATTACAATTGCACATTCATTTGGCATAAACAAATTCAAAAACAAACACAAATGACTGTAGATAAGCATGGCAGCAGGTAAACAGATGAACAGAAACACACCATTTTTTCAGAGTATTCTGTTGGCCAGAAGCAGGAATAACCTAAGAGGGAGTCTACTGTATACCTACCATTTCCTAATTATAAACAATACTATTTAATAGGTATATTAGCTTTCTGGAAGAATGGATTTACCATGGAAAAATACAAACAAATTTAGCAGGGAGGTTCACAATGATACCAAAATTCTACACTAGAAAAGTAATACATTCCTTCTTATCTTTCTTTAATTAGAAATTGTAGGAGACTTCTTCACTGACAAAAACTAAGAGCACAAAATTCCACCCCAAACTCAATTCAGCATAAGAAGACTCCTACCCAAAGCATAAACATATATACTCACATAAAAAATAAAAAAAACTTTTAAAATTAATAAAGAAATTAAGGTTTTAAGAAAGAAACTTTCTCCCTACTAGAGAAAACCATCACCTCTTGGTGGGGAAAACTGAATTTAAAGTTCAGGTTCGGGCAGTTACTACTTATGTGATGGAGTAAATCAATTCACCTCACTGAGCTATAGTATCCTTTTCTGAAAAAAAAAAGATAATAATAATGGTTCTCTCCTCACAAAACTGTAGTCAGAATTATATAAAATAAAATATATAAAGACACTCTGCAAACTATCAATCATCTTATACATATAAATTGTTATTACTGGAAATCCTAGCTTATATTTTGGACAGAGAATTTCAGAGTCAAGGGAAGTCATTTCACAAATGACAAGGCTGTGATTCAAAAGCCTAAATTACTTTCCTACTTACAGTGGCATGGATGACGGAGCAGAAATAGAGAATTCTTGATTAACCAGGAGAAGAATATCATAGGCATGGGTGTGAGATCAACTGGAGATTCAAGGAAGCTAAAGTGCCCAGAATGAACTAATGTTGTAATGTAGACTGTGAGCAGAGATAAAATTCCAGAAGCCAAGGAGTGTTGTACGGTAAGTCCTGGCAGTGCCTTTGGTGAGGAGAGTAAAGAAGAAATAGAAAGATTAGCCAAAAAAAATTTCAACTATACCAAATTAGTATTCCATCCTGCACAGTAAAATTTTGATGCCTTTACAAACTAAACAAAGTAGGGAATTTAAGATAATTCCCATGTTTATGCTGTTTCTTTCCACTGGTCAGAATAATTAACCATAGGTTAGGAAGTTAAGAAAACAATAGGATAGACGTCAGTGAAGTTCAAGTGCTTTAATTGGATTCCTTTGGGTACAGTTTGTTTCCCTTTTTCTCTGACCATTAATCCAGCAGAGGAAAGTGATCTAACACAGCACCATGACATGAAGGGACGGACCCTGAGAGCCTGTCTCTCTATGATGACTGTTCTTGTGCATCCAGGCAGCCTATTGAAACTAACAATGCCTGCTGCTGCTGCCGAAGAGGATCATCCAAACTCTGAAAATGAAACACATCACACAAAGGGATGAAAGAATTCTTATTCCACAGGGTTTAGCTTGCAGCTGGTCATGCATGCCAGAGGGATGTGCCACGAGGATGACAAAGAAGCTTCCAAAGAGAATGGAAGGGGCAGCCAGCCGGACATTTTGAAATACTTAGAAAACTATTCTTTTGAAACTAAGGCAATAAACTAGACTTCTTTATGGCAGAACTTGAGAAATATCAGGGTTTATTTCTTTTATCTCTGCAATTCACCCACATTTAAACATTCTTGCGAGTAAAAGAAATTTGAATAATTTCTAATTGGTTATACAGTTTTGAGGGTTTCCCATTCATAAGAGACCATATTATATAATTGATTATTTTTTCCTCCGAGTTGAAGCTCTATATCACCCCAGAGTTTAAAACTGTATGGAAGAATAGGTATTGGGCTTTTCTGTAACTGATGTAGATACAATGAATAATAAATATGCTTGTTATACCAAGTAGCATGCTGGTTAAGATCACAGACTTTGAGGTCTCAGTGATGTAACTGACGGAATACTCATTGCATGGCATCAGGTCTCATGGGTTCTAAGGATCTCGAATAGCTGTGTCAGGTAAGAGTTTGCCCACAGGAAGTGCTCCAAATAGAATTAAGAGTCATAAGAACCTGCCATACAGCTGCCATTGCTCTTGGCCCCTCAGTTGGTCACAGCAACGCATAATCCAACTCTTAAGCTGCCTTGGATATCCATGTTTAAAGAGGGTCAAAAGCAGCACCTAAAGTTTTGAAAGACAATGCTGCACTGGGGCATCGGCCTTTTCTGATTAAGTTCACTCATTCATAGCAATCTAAAAAGAACACTGGCTCTCCCTCTCTGGCCCTTCTCCACTACTGTTCCAAAAAGCTCACCTTCCTCTGTTTACAGGATAAACGTGAAAGGCTCTTTTCATTGCCCTTAACAGTACACACAATAGACTTGGCAATCATTTCTACCAATTACATCAATGACTCATATGAACTCTGCATAACCAGATGCGTGACTTTGTGGAAGTTATTTAATCTCATTTAGCCTTAGATTCCTCATTGGTCAAATGAAAATAATATCTGTCTTATGAGATTGTTGTGAAGAATAATAAGATAATATTTACCTCACAGTTTAGTTATAAGCACAAGGGGTGATTCAATAAATGTCAGTCATTATCAGTGTCATTTTCTATAACAGGAGTAACAAATAGTTCATGTAAGAAACTGAAATGAGAACTGGAACACAGTATCAAAAATATTCCCCTATCCTGTCAGGATGCTGTCATTGATTCAAACATTCTGTCATTTATTTCAGGTTAGAACACAGTTTAAGAAAAGCATTGCTTCCTCAAAAGATTATGTCAAAGTGAAAATAACTAATTGGGAGAAATATTTCTTTTCCATGTATTCAACTTGTTTGTTCTAAATAATCTACTTCAAACTACTGTAAATAAGTTCTTGTTAAAAGTGTTTTAACTTTTCAAATGGCTACTAATATACGATGTTTTACAGATAAATCTTTGGCATTGGAGGGTTTCCCTAATTGTTCTGATATTTCTTATTCCCGACTCCTACCATCCACTTGCTCAGAAGCTCTTCCAACCTCTCTCAAAAAGAGAAAATAATTTGAATGAAAACTCATACTACAAAAGCAACGTTAAAATATATTTGAGAAAAAATGACTCTCACCCTAGGTCATGCTACAAGTGCTGTACCATTCAATGGCACAAAATTAACTTTTAGCTCTAAGTTCATTACCAAAGAATTCTAAAGACTAAAGAAAGCATAGGGAAATTAAAAATATTTATAACTATAAACAAAGATAAGAGATTATAATGAGAAAAAATTGTATATAAGGAGATATTTATAATATAATTAAAAATTAACCGTATACAATAAAATTTAACTCAAAATAAACCTTTCCCTAAGAATTATAAAATATTTTAAATTCAAACTTAATTCTAGTAAACTAAATAAATCCCTACCATTAATTACTACTTTGCATTATGAAACTTTGCTCCCAAAATTTTATGCTAAAATCTTCCACATAAGTTCTGAAGACCAAAAAAATCCCTACTATTTCATTCTAAAACAATTGGTCCATAATTAGTGAAAATCTAAGTCATTTTTCTCACCTTTCCTTTCAGCAATGCCCATCCAATCAATCACTAGATCCTGTCAATTCTTTATTTCCACTATTATAGCCTAGAATCCTAAATAATCTAATTATTTTCAGCCTCTTACCTCTTTCATCCATATTTATGCTTCAAGAATTACCTTCTATTAAAAAGAAAGGCTCAAAGAATTTCCCTCACCTCCTCAAAAACCTTAGATTGTTTACAGAATAAAATGTATCTCTAAGCATAGCATTCAGTCTTTCACAGTGTGGCACAGAACTACAATTAACAGTAATTAAATAAATGTAAAAGGTATTCATTAACTGCCTGATAGGTTCCAGACTCCAAACTTGATAGTGGGTTGGTAGTGGTGACAAAGATGAGCTCAACACAGTACCTGTTCTCAAAGAAGCCAGTTTAGTAAGGAAGCAGGTAAGTAAACTAAAACTTGTACTGCCATTTAGTTAGTACAAAAAAGGTAACTAACTACACTGTGCTACTAGAATTAGACAGTAAGTCCCAACTCATTGAAAAGTAAAATAGAAATATGTTGGTTTTCTGCTTCTGAAAATGATGAAGTAACAGAAATAGCATACACCTCCTGCCTTAAACAACTAAAAATCTAAACAAAATATATAAAATATTTGCTTGCAGACATTGCACAACAGGCACAGCACAGCAATTGCTGAGAAAAGGAAATTAACAAGGTTATTCCTGCTATTGCTGTAGTATGCTGTCTTGAGAGAGTTATCAGACCATGACTCAGGGAGGTAGAATCCTAACAGAGATTGTTTTATCTAGGGTCACACTAATAGTGAGGAGTGGAGCTGGGCCTCTGATAGGAACCTTTCTGACTGCAAAGTCCCCAGAAGTTTTAATTTTTACTCACCTCTACCTTTTTATTTTTTCTTTTACACTATAGAAATCATACTTCAAAATTTAAATACTAATGCATTCAGTGAATCTCCCCGATCCCAACTGTTCCCAGTCACAGTAAAGATATTACCATCCTCTAAATACTGTATTACTTTGTGTTTACGGTTATATAACATTAACTTTCCTGCTATATTTAATAATAATTTTAATGTGAATTAACATTTATTGAAGCCTTACTACATTATTTTATGTTAGTAAGAACACTTAAAATGAGATCTACCCTCTTAGCAAATCTTAATAGTACAATATTTTTAAGTGTGCAGTATTGTTGACTACAGGTACAATGCTATACAGAAGATCTCTAGAACTTATTCATCTGCTTAACTGAAACTTTATGTCCATTAATTAGTAACTTCCCATTTTCCCTTTCCTTCAGCCCTTGGCAACCACCATCATTCTATTCCT
This sequence comes from Homo sapiens, assembly GCF_000001405.40. NCBI lineage: Eukaryota > Metazoa > Chordata > Mammalia > Primates > Hominidae > Homo > Homo sapiens. The sequence continues at coordinate 115,075,326 of NC_000003.12, forward strand.
TGATTCTATGAATTTAATTATTTTAGATACTTCATATAAGTGGAATCATGTAGTATCTGTCTTTCTATGACTGGCTCATTTCAATTAGCACAGTGTCCTCAAGTTTTAGCCATGTTGTCTCATTGCAGTATTTCCTCTTTTTTAAAGACTGAATAATATTCCACTGTGTATATATACCATTTTCCTTATCCATTCATCCATAGAAGGACATTTAGGTTGTTTCCACATCTTGGTCATTGCTAATCTTTTTGAGATCCCGATTTCAATTCCTTTAGATAAACAACAAAGTACCAACAGAAGTAAAGTACATCAACATGATAAGCACATATATGAAAAGGCTACATATCAGTTTTCAATGGAAAAAACTGAAAGCTATTCCTCTAAAATCAGCAACACAGCAAGGATGTTCACTCTCGGCACTTCTATTCTACATAGTACTGGAAGTCTTACCCAGGGCAATTAGGAAAGAAAAAGAAACAAAAGCCATTCAAATTGTAAAGGAAAAAGTAAAATTGTCTAGTTGGTAGAGTCTATGCTTTTATATACAGAAAATCCTAAAGACTCCATTAAAAAACTGTTAGAATTAATAAATGAATTCAATAGAGTTGTAGGACACAAAATCAACAGACAAAATCAGCTGCATTTCTATATATTAACAAGGAACCATCTGAAAAAAAATTGGAAAAACATTCCCATCTAAAATAGCACCAAGAAGTATAAAATAGGAAGACAATTAAGGAGATTAAAGATTATATACTGAAAACTACAAAACATTGATGAAAGAAATTCAAGATGGAAGATATCCTGTGTTCATGGATTGGAAGACTTTAATATTGTTAAAATGTCCATACCCAAAGTGATCTATAGAGTCAATTCTACATTTCTGTAATTCACATGGAACCACAAATACCATGAATAGCCAAATCGATCTTGAGAAAGAAAAACAAAGATTGAGGCATCACATTTTATTGCTTCAAAATATATTACAAAACAAAAATAATCAAAACAATATGGTTCTGGCATAAAGATAGATATATAGACAAATGAAACAAAATATAGAGCCAAGAAATAAATCTACACATAAATGGTCAACTAATTTTTTACAAGGGTGTCAAGAATACACAATGAGAAAAGGATAGTCTCGTCAACAAATGGTTCTGGGAAAAACAGCAAAATAATAAAATTGGACCTTTATCTTACAACATACACAAAAATAAACTCAACATCGATTAAAGACTTAAATGTAAGACCTGAAACTAAAACTTTTAGAATAAAACATACAGGAAAAGCTTCATAACATTCATCATAGTAATAATTTCATGGCTGTAACATCAAAAGTACAGGCAACAAAAATAAAAATAAACAGGTAAGACTATACATCTTGACTGCACAGCAAACAACATAGTGAAAAGGCAACCTATGGAATAGAAGAAAATATCTACAAACCTTATATCTCAGTGATTCCCAACCTTTCTGGCACCAGGAACTGGTTTTGTGGAAGACAATTTATCCAAGGACAGGAGGATGGTTTTGGGATGAAACTGTTCCCTCTCAGATCCTCAAGCATTAGTTAGAGCCTTATAAGAAGTCCACAATCTAGATCCCTTGCATGCACAGTTCGCAATAGGGTTCACACTCCCATGAGAATCTCATGCCACTGCTGATCTGACTGGATGCAGAGCTCAGGCGGTAATGCTCACTGGCCGGACACTCACCTCCTGCTGGGCAGTCCAGTTCCTAACAGGCCAGGGACCATTACTGGTCTGCAGCCTGGGGCGTGGCGAGCAGGGGTGAATTCCCTGATATATCTGATAAGGGGTTAATATCCAAAATACATGAAGAACTCCTATAATTTAAGAGCAAAAAGAAAAAAAAAACTAATAATCCAACTTTTAATAATGCACTAAGGAATTTGCTAAGGTCTGAATATTACCCCTCCCCCAAATTCATACGTTGAAACTTAATTGCAATGTGATAGTATTAAGAAGCAGGGCTTTTAGGAGGTGATTAAATCATGAAGGCAGATCACTCATGAATGGGACTAGTAATTTTAAAAAGAGATGATGAGCTGTTTGCCCTTCCACAATGTGTGGGCACAGAGGCCACCATCTATGAAGAAGAGGCCCTTACCAGATACAAAAACTGCCAGTGCCTTGACCTTGGACTTTCCAGCCTCCAGAACTACGAGTAATAAATTTCTGTTGTTCATAAATTACCCTGTATTTCCTTAGAGCAGCCCAGACTAAGAGACACTTGAATAAAGATTTATTTAAAGTAGACATACAAATGGCCAAGAGATATATTTAAAAATATTTAACATCACTTATCATCATCAGAGTAATTCAAATTACAACCACAATGAGGAATTGCCTCACACCTGTCAGGGCTGTTATTAATAAAACAAAAGACAAGTGTTGATGAGGATGTAGAGAAATTTGAATCCTTGTACACTGTTGGTAGGAATGCAAAATGGTGAAGCACTATGGAAGATAGTCTGAAGTTTCCTCAAAAAATTAAAAATAGAACTGTTATACAATTCAGAATTCTCACTTTTAGGTATTTATCAAAAGAAACTAAAATTAGTATCTTGAAAAGAGCTTACCACGGTATTTCTCTAAATGATGCACTTGTACCAAATCATTTAATCCTCAGGACAACCCAATAGGTACTACTTTTAGCCTCAATTTGTAGATAAGGAAACTGAAACCCAGGCTAAATAACTTGCCTGAAGTGAAATAACTAGTGAGTTTCAGAGCAGGAATTCAAAACAGAAAATCTGGCTCCAAAGTCCATGCACATAACCTCATTGCTTCCCTATCTGAATCACCTAATAGACTTCTTAAATATAGAGACAATTCATATAACTAATCTTGTTATTTGTATATCTCACACTATCTAGAACAACGTGTTATTGCTAATAGATATTCTATGTTGTTTTTGATATGAATGAATGAATAAAAGAGCAATATGAAGCTATGGAGGAATAATCACACTGAGTGCTAAGCCAGAACTCTGGTAAACCATAAACTATATATAAAGTGTGCCTAAAATTCTTTATGAGAAATTATTCTTCATCCTCACAACTCCTCAGAAATTTTATCCACAAGTAACTAAAGTTTTCACATGTTTCACTCATAGGATCTTCACTCTTAGCTAACTTCAATATTGGAAAATTACAGACGATTATTTTATGTCTATTCTTAATGACCATTATGGCACATATTTCATACATTTTAGTCTAAGTATAGAACAACATTATCAGTAAGAATATGTGTGTGTGTGTGTGTGTATATATATATATATATATATATATATGAAGAGTGAGAGAGAGAGTGGGGTAGATGATATGGGGGTTGAGGTAGTTGGGAATGAAGAAACCAGCAATGGTAATAACAAGATAATAGAAATGAAAACAACTAACATTTTCTCAAACACCTATCAAGAGCTCGGCACCTTATTAGGTCTTTTATGTTAATCATCTCACCTGGTCCTCACAACAACCATGAGGTAAAAAAAAGTTGAACCCTGAAATTTTGATATTCCTTTTCTTTAACAATAGATTGTATCAAGTGAATTAAAAGAATGTAAAGTGAATAACCATTTTATTAGAGTTGAAGCTTAAAAGTTATTGGACTGCTATAATACATGAACTACATTTTTTTCAATTAGCGTTTTCACCAACTTTATAAAAAAAGTTATATAAAGGGCTGACAATCACTATTATTCTGTTTATACTGATACCATCATGAGTTCACATATGTTTAATATTTATTCCACATAAACTTATTTACAAGTTAGTACACTGTTCACTAAGAAAATATGGTAAAGTTGTCAGATTCTTGAGGTAGGGCACAATAACAAGTGCTAGAATCAACACACTGTATGAATTGCCTTGAATAATCACTCTAGATGTTCAAGAAGTTTCCACTTACTCTCCAGGGCTAATGAGTATTACATGCAATAATCATAATTAAAACAGAAGTAATGGAAATATGTGCGCATAGCTACAAAATATCATAATCTCAGAATTAATCTTCAGTTCCTCAAGTCTTTCTTATTTATTTATTTATTTATTTATTTAGAGACAGAGTCTCCCTCTGTCACCCAGGCTGGAGTGCAGTGGTGCAATCTCAGCTCACTGCATCCTCCGCCTCCTGGGTTCAAGCGATTCTCCTGCCTCAGCCTCCTGAGTAGCTGGAATTGCAGTTGCCTGCCACCACACCCAGGTAATTTTTGTATTATTGGTAGAGATGGGGTTTCACCATGTTGTCCAGTCCAGGCTGGTCTCGAACTCCTGACCTCAAGTGATCCACCCACCTTGGCCTCCCAAAGTGCAGGGATTACAAGTGTGAGCCACTGCGCCCTGCCCCTAGAGTCTTAAATCACAAATGTTTATCAAGAAGTTTAAGTTCTGTTCATTAATTTAATTCACTCCATTCTTCGTAAAAACCCTGATATGCTAAACCTTCAATAATTCAATTGCATATTATCCATACTTTAAAAATAATTGCTCAAGTGACATATTGCATTACATTACATTACATTATTAATGGATACTAGAAATAGAGTGCCTACAATGTGCTGGGGAAAATATTAGGTGTTTACGATATGATCTTATTTATTCTCCATCATTCTAGTTTGGCTTTCTTATCTGCATTTTACAGATGAGGAAAATAGCTCAGTGTTACAAACTGAATGTTCATGCCCAAATTTATATGTTGAAACTATACCCCCAATGTAATGCCACTAGCAGATGGGGCTTTTGAGAGGTAACTGGGATTAGATAAAGTCATGAGGTTTATGGGATTAGTACTCTTATAAAAGAGACCCCCAAGAGCTAGCTTGATCTCTTTCTACCAGAAACACAATGAAGAGTTAGCAGTCTGCAGCCCAGAAGAAGGTCTTCACCAGAACTCAACCGTGCTGGCACTCTGATCTTGGACTTCCAGCCTCCAGAACTGTGAGGTTACAGCAGCCCAAATTGACTAAGACACTCAGAATAAGCTGTCCATGGTCTTACAAAGATCAAACATTGTACTAGAAGGGGAACTCAAATCCACCTTGGGCTACCACAAACAATAAGAAAATTTTGCAAAATAGGAGACTATAAAGTTAACATACAAAAATCAACAGCCTTCCTACACAGAAACAAATGCCAGCTAGAAAATATAGAAGAAAAGAGCCTGTTTAGTATAGTAAGGCTGTAAGAAAGTAAGCAAGTAAATAAATAAGTGGATGCAATACCAAAAGGCAGACTTAATAATAAATGTTTAAACCTAAAGCCAAAAGGAAAATTAGAACATTTCAGCAAGATACAACAGTTACTGAGCAAATGGAAATAAAAAACAGATTCTTGGATAAAAAGATTCACCCTCATAAGAACATTAATTGTTGTGATGTTAATTCATAAATTCCTTATAATTTCAATAGAAATGCCATCAGGGATTTTCTTTTTCCTCAAGATCTGCTAGTTGATTATAAAGTTCACTTGGAATAACAAGTATGCAAGAAAAGCCAGAAAACACTGAAAAAGAGTAATGGTAGAAGCAGGGAGGGAAGCTAACATTTCAGATATAAAAACAAGTTATAAAGCTTCTATAATTAAAATAATGTGATAATATCACATGCATAGACAGGTCAATGGCACAGAATAGAAGAATATAGAAATACATCTGACTGTATAGAAAAACTTACTATAGGATATCATGCAAGTACTAGAAGAAACATTGATGAATTCCCTTACAAACTGGCACTGGGAAAACTGTTTCTAATTATGCTTCAATGTGATAATATCCAAGAAAGTCAACTAAACAACTGGGTATTAAAGGCAAATACCTCTTTTTATCAAATAATCATCATTCTCTGGATTCTATGTAAAGCAATATCTAAAACAACCCTGGGAATCACATAAATCTCAAAATTGTTGAGTAGAACAAACTTTAACAGTTTCTCTTCCTTCATCATCATTTTTAAACCCCAGCAGAAAGATCACAGTAATATAACCAAAACCTAAAAGAGCCTAAAACACACATCTGTAGGGTTTGGTTGGAAATAAACTACACTATCCTATATCCAGTTCATATCTAAGACTTTTCCTTGCATTTCAGTACGATGCTGCTTACTTTTTAAGAAGGATTACAATCCTTGAATATCTCAATCCACAATTTATATTTAAAAATGCATAAGTAATTTCTATGTGCTAGAGGGCAAGGGCCCTTAATAGATATTTAGATTTATACTATAATTAAAAAATAATAATAATGCAAATGTATGTCAAAGCTCTGTAAACAATATTTTCAGAAAATTTGTTGTGGAGAAGGACCCCTGGTGTCCAGCTGGATTTAAGCCAGTCTATAATATAGCTGTTGACTGCATTGCCTTCAAATCTATTATCAGACAGATCTTTACTTACCTTGAAATGTTTGACTTCACCATAAAATATATCAAGCTTCTAAAATTTGTAAAGATTATATTTATGAATAAAAATATTGGTAGTGCTACATTTCCAAATAAACATTTTGAGAAGCATGATATAGATTCTTTAGACACGGAATACACCATCACTGACTGGCAGGAATGTATCTCAGACACAATAGTTACAGTGTCTGATTGGTGTCTCTGGAACGTATAGATAGCATCTACATTTATAAAAATAAATACTATATTCACAAGTGGCTTCTGGAAAAGCTTCTTTTAAAAAAACAACATTAAAATGGCACATTGGCAAAAGACATCACAGCCTTGCTGTATACTAACACTGCCTTGCAAATGAAAAACCTGCACTATTCCTTATGATCAGGGTTTCACCCATTTATTTGGTTAATCATTCAAATGGCTAAACAGACCTCTAATTTGAAAATAAAAACCAATTGATGCAATCACAAACAAGTTCTAAAATTGCGGTTTATAAAAATTGAAATCTTGTTCTAAGCCAAAACACACACACAGTTACCTTTTCCTAATCAGAGCATTCATTTCTCCTCATTATGATCTCACAAGCACATTAAAATCTTATTAACATTAATTACTTCTGAGCGCCTATGCATGAGCAGTGACAGTCGTGAGTGTGCGCGTGTCTGGATCATATCTACATTTATATACCTTGCTGCACTTTGCTTATAAAACATGTGAAAATATTTCTGCTAACACCAATTAGCTAATTTCACACACACACAGATAGTAAACTGCTGTCTCACTGCACAGCCTATCAGAAACCAGTAAACATATGGACAAACGGACGGGAAAGAAAGCAGAAACACCTCTTGAATGTGAAAACTAAAATGCCTTATACTTGAGCCTGAATACTTAAGGTGAAAACAAGTTGGGAGGACAAAATAACAAAAATAGAAAACAATTTAAAATGATAAAACCAAGCATACTATTTTCTACACAGATGGTTTCAGTGATAAAATGATAGAGACAAAGAAAAACTGGCAAGCAAAAAGCAGCAAACACAGGAGAAATATACAGAAATGAAAATGTCCTTCCTTACATGTGTGTACATGCACACACATGCACAAACACACACATATCTGCTCCTCTTAAATATACTCATATTGTAATTTGAATAAAAACAATATAAACTTTACTCTGACCATAAGGTAATAGCACACTACATTTCAAAGTCAAACAGGTCTATCCTCACAAGCAAATAAATATTCCTGCTCAAACCAAATGCTTTATGGATTCTACTTATACTAAGAACATTATATACAGGAGCCATTAATACCTACAATGGAAACTCAAGGTAAATGCAAAAACCAAGGCAATTATAGCCACAAAGCTACATATAACTCTTATCTCTTTGCTTCACAATCTCCTTCTCTCAGCATACAACTATTTTATCATTCATACATATACTCCATCAATTTGTATTCTTCTTTGCCTCATCATATGTCCTTCATTAGGAATATTATTAAAGAATAACCATTGATCATCGCATCCACATTTTCTTTTTCAATCCATGTGCCCATCTTCTCCTCACAGCCTAGAGTTTATAAATCCAAAGTCTTATTAGATACCACTATATCTATATAGTCTTTCTGCCATCTTTAATTTCCTTGTTGCCATCAAACTATACTGTTTCACAAAGAAAATACCAAAAAAGTCTGTATTCCATAATGAAATTTTCAGTGATGAAAACACTTACCCTCATTGGATTACAATACCTATGTTTGTAAACAAAGGTGAATAATAAAACTTAAACCTAAGAGTATTATACTTTTTATAGAAAGTTATTTTAGAACATTTGACTACAAAATAAATATAGAAAGAATATATTCAGCCATTCAGCACAATTCATGTTAAGTTGATTTAAGCAGTTAAGCTATAATTATAGCTCATGCTATAATTCCAATTTTCTACCTATTGTCCAGCAGGCTCATTGGCCTATAGCATAGGGGTCAATGACCCATAGCAATATAGGTGTGCATGATAGAGATGGGCTACATAACAAATTCCTAAGTGCTCTCTCTGTAGAGTAGGATATATATTGGAGAAGAAATGGTAGGGAGCAGAGAGAGGGTTTCTAAATATTTTTGAAATAGCATTAAAATATATGACATTGGTATTAATATAAAATGTAAATGGTAACCAAGAATATACTGTATTTTGTTTTAATTTAGTATTATTCAACATGCTCATAACTGAACAAAGTTTAGTGGATATTGTCTGTGAAAACTAAAACTTGCTAATATAAGCACTATTAGCTAATAAAGTGTTAAAAGTTTTTTTAATAAAGGATAGTAAAATAATGTTAGATGCAATAAAATGGTATTTAAAGATGAGCAAGAGTTATTTCAAGTAATTTCCAGTTTACCATAACAATTTACAAATTAAAATTATCATCCTTACGATGTTTACATAGACTTTGTATAGGTAAGTAGCAACTGTCACAGTAATATTTACTACTTGTAAATATTCTGACTTAACCAGGCTTACCATACTGCATGAAGAGTGCCAAAAAAAAAAAAAAAAAGACTAGAGAACTAAGAAAATAAAAAGTTGAAAACCTAACAGAATTAGTGGTTGCCTGTCTCATAACACAATAGCACTCTATGCTTAAAAAAAATACTGATTTTTAATTAGTAAACACTGAAATATTTGTTTATAGGCCATTTATAGCCCACTAAACAAAATCTGTGAACCAAAAATTAAAGTATTAACAACAATTGCCAAATGAAGGTCAATCTGTTTTTTTAATATCTAAATTAACAGATCAGTGGAAAAATATGAGATTTGTTTTTTTAAAAGATTAATTTATATTAACATCTTCAAGAATACTTTGCATTAAGATAGATCCCTAATGATCAGAAAATTATGGAAAATCAGGAGTGAACAAAGAAATAATCTTGAGTAAATATAAAAAGTATCATCATGTTAATCAGTTAGCTATGCTGCAGAAAGCGTCCCAAGAATCCACTGACATATGACCAAGACCGAACTAGCAAAAAGTGCACAAATATGTTGAGACTTAGAACCCACCTTCTCTTTCATAAATGCCCCATCACAAACTGCAAAGATTAGGTGGCCAAATTTCAACATCAAAGATTCACTTGGCATTCTGAACCAGATCTAAGAATCATGGTCTTTATTTTCCAGTAAAAGCTAATAAGCTGAGACTTACTTAACGCTTTCCTGTTTTGTTTTGTTGTTGTTGTTGTTGTTGTTTTGAGCTTCTCAAGGAATACTGAAATTGGAGACTACATGTGAAAACGATAGTTCATCTTTTCCAAAAAAAGATATTCATCCAGATTGCCCTCCAATCGGTGAAATCTGAGATGTCTAAAAAGTCTTCTTTGTGAAAGCCTTACAAATATATCCAAAGATGTTGAGTCCCATATGGCTCTGATAAATGAAACCCGTTATTGTGAATTTCAAGCTCTTCCTTAAATCAAAACACTATTGGGTGAATTTGGTGCTCATGAAATAAAGCACTAATTGCGTGGCCTAACAACACTGAATCCTCTGCCTAGCAGACATTTTAAGTTGTGCCAAATTGGTTTTGGGATGTGAACAAATATCCTGGAGCCAGACTCTCTCACATGCACACACTACTCCCTGGAAGTAAGTTGGACACTCTTGGAAACTGCATTAACTCTTTCAGGCCACCAGGGAACCTAACTCTCACTAAAGGAAAGGCCTCTTTTAAGATAAAAACAAGTCATTTCATCTAAAGTTAAACCTAAGAAAGAGGTAAAAGAGCAAAAACTAATTTGTGGCTAAACACTAAAATGTCCATAGACATAAAATAGTCCTTAAACCCCAGTGGATGCTTTTTCAAATGTATCCAGAAAATCTTATTTGGGCATAATTTCCAAGACATTAATAAGAGTTGTGTGCATTCAGGAAAAGAGAATTCATTTTAAGCTTAATATGCCACATTTGCCTCAGGCCGAGTGATAAGAAACTTTTGTTTCTTTGGTAATCACTCTCAAGCTTATTATATCAGGAAATTTCTTGAGTTTCTATTTCACCACATGAAATATGATTTCCACACTAGAAATTTTTTTATGGTCTTTTTGTTCTGGTTCAGAAAGATGCCTACAAACATGAAGCTGAGTATTTAAATGGCAATTAATGTAATCCCATCTCCCTTGCACTCAAATTTAGGAGTTCATAAAAACAATTTTTAAAAGCACCTAAATATAAGAAAAATGTACAAAAACGGGCGTTGTATTTCTTTCTCTATTTTTTAGTCTTAATTTCTTCAGCAGTAATTTCTTAGAAATAAGTTGTTTACTTTGGTAGGGCATTTTAATTAAGCATTTTATTTGCAGTATGATGAAAGCACAGCATTTCTTTCCCCTTTTATCTCACTAATAAATACCCTGGATTATATTTGTCCCCGGGATTACCTAAACTAACTACAATTTTATGCTTTTAGGTCACTGTCATTTTGTTGCTGTCATTCATCTTTCACCTTAAAGGCTTATGAAGATATAGATAAAGTAAAAACTACTTTTTTGGAGGTGGAAATAGCTAAATGCTTGTGAAAATGGTATTTTTCAGTCATTTCTAGTTTAAGCCTTCTATATTTCTTAGAGAACCGTATTTATTTTGTGTCAATTGGTGTGAATTTAAGAGTATTACTAGAACCCTATGTTCCACCTCCAACAAAGCTTTATATTCTAACAATTAGCCTGCATGTGCTGCTGCTATTGACTCTTAATAATATATAAAAAAAACAACAGCCTTGTCAGCCAACCCTACAAGGAAACTAGCTGCTATTTGCAAGTAGACAGGACACAGTTGTAAATCAAATGTGTGTAGCTGCTTCGGGCTTCTATTGGTTCAAACTGCAATTCTTAGAATGGAATACAGGCTATGGGTGTGTTTATATGAAGGTCCTCTACCTGATTTTCTCTGGGGTTTTGGATCTCTGAATAATTCATATATTTCCAAATCAAAATTTAGAGGATCTGTAGTGCACTAGTCTGTGTTTGTACTATGTCTGATGTGATGGCATCACTTCTAAGTTCTGTTGCATATTCAGTTAGTCAGCTCTGGTAACCGAGTAAAACTCACACTCTAGTAGAAATTGTTTGGTATCTAGAACCTTACTAAGGACACTAAGGGGTAAATGGTAATATTCAACAGATACCACATTAAAAAGTTTTCACTAATTTTTAAGTCAAATATTTATCATATCAGTGAGAAGTTGATCCAAAACATATTCACAACTTAGGGTGATACTAGGGCCAAATAGCAACTTTCCCCTGGGGTTCAAGCACAGAGGCTAACTGGGACAGTTATAAACTTTATGGAAGTCTAAAATTCTGATTCGTATTTCTACCATGGTCCTCCTTTCCAACTTAAATCCATCTAATGATATCAATTTAGGAGGAAAAGGTATCAAAATTTAGCTTATGTTCATTTCAAATACCTCAGATTAACTGTAATTAGGAGGTAAAAATAAAAATGGCCTGTCTTTAAATAGGTGTCCATTACATTTTTCACGTTTAGAACTCTGCCATGAGCTCAGAACTATTTATTCAATGACATTTCCTTTTTCCAGTTATATCTTCATTACTTACATGATCCAAATAAAATAGAGAAAAAAAGGCTTCACGTGGTGGACACTGTCCTTACAGCTCAGCTAATTCTAATGGTTTTAAAAGTCTAAATATATTTAATAACTAGCCTCTACACCTGAGATTATCAGCAGAATACTTTTTTAGATGTTAAAAGACAGTAGCCAAAGAAAAGAAGGAAAGAAAACGTGAGTAGGGATATTAGGAGAGCATCTTTATCAGCAAAAAAGCTGGATTGTCCAATTTCCTCACTGGAGCAATGAATAACCTAGTTCCCAGTACCAACCCCAACACTGAAAACTGCTGTGTAACTGTAGGCAAGTTATTTAACTTCAACTGGCTCCTACTTCTTAATCTGTGATGCAAGGGTAATATAGTTTCAGGCACCAACTGCTTCCTGCATCCCTATACTGGCTAGGATCTTTTAAAAATTATTTCCTGGACAAAACCTCACCCACATGCCATCAGTTATTTTCCCTCCTTTTTCCTGCCTCCTTTGCCTCTGCAGGGAAATAAAATTAGCAGTCAAAGTTAAACATGCCCAGTGGGCAAGACAGACTTTGGTTTAAGGAAAGGGATGGAGTAAGTTGTGTTAAAGTGCTTATTTGGCCCCAAATGGTTCATTGTTGGGATACCACCTCCCACAACTAGCTCCACTGGAATTTTTCTCAGGAAAATGGAGAACTGTTTTAAGATAGACATGCCCTGTAAGCTGGTCTCAAATCAAAATAAATTTAGGATATTCAAAAAATGCCCTACAGGATTTTTCCTGTGGAGCCTAAATAAATCACTGACCAAATTTTCCAATTCATGCTCTGCTGCTAAAGGGGACGTTCTACAAAATCATGTTTTAATTTCTACATCTGAAAAAGGAGTATAGGTAAAGTTCTTCACTTTGGGTTTTCATTCTTCTCTCTTCTCTGACAGTATTCTAAAAGAATGCCATTTGAGAAAAGACCACTCTTAGAGAAGAAAATTGAAATATAACCCCAAATTTCCAATAAACTTGTAAGTCTGCTAAAGACAAGACCATAACCCTGGTTAGAGATTTTGTGGGTCTTCCTTTAAAAAAAATGAACCTTTTAATACATAGAGAGGTGTTAAGAATATCCCAAAAGTGTACACATATCTAAATTTACAAAATCATGATTATTTTCACAACTAAAGGATATATTTTAGAGCTCTTTTAAATTGTGACTGCCCTTACTGCATTTTACTGCATATCAATAATTTGCATATTATTAAATATTTAAAAAATATAAAAATTACATTTTTAGCTATCCATACAGGATAAGTGAGAAATTGTACAAGTTTGCATACATGTGCTGTCATTTTATACTATGAGGCATTGTTTTTTTCAGACAAGAACATCAGGAATGCTCAAGAGTCAGTTTTTAGATGTTATGAAGCACTGAGGCATTGATGCTGTTAACACTTTCATTGAAATTTAAATGCAAACCAAATATTTTAAGACCAATAACAATGGATATGCCATGAAATTGTTGTGTTTCACAGCGTGTCATAATAGGTAAAATTGGAATTTTCCTTCAAATAATCTGTCCCATCCAAGAGTTTTAACTCTCAAATATAAATATAAACAAAAGATTATTCACTTCAACTGATTTCCCTAGAGGATTATGCATTATCAATTCCAAACTTTACAAGATTTAAGAAATTACTGGACTGATTAAGTGTGGCAAACTGGTTTGTTCCCTACAAAGGAAACAAACTTAAATCCCACAAAGTTTAATTAGCATTTAGTGGCTCAACAAATGGAGGAACAGCCTGATTCTGAATAACTGCAAAGCAGAGTCAGAAATTGTATATACTACTGGTTAACTTTGCTGTGAAAATTAGAGTGAACCAGAATTCAATCCCAGTTCTGCCACTTACTAGATCTGCAATCTTCGGTAAACCACTTAACCATTCTAAATCTTTCTTTCCTCATCTTTAAATAGGGTTAAGAAATACTTCATAGCAAAGGCATGGTGGTTAAGAGATCCCATAGGCGAAGTTCCTTAACAATTCATTAACTATAATTATCACTACAATTTAGACCCCTTCTGACCATTGAGAACCCATGAATTCTACATCCAGCTAAAAACCATTTTGCAATAGAAAAATTTTTTCAAAACTCAATTTACATGGTCTAAGCAACAATTATGATAGCATGTCAGGGGCTAATGTGGTGCCAAAAGTTAGACATTATCATTTAACACAATGGGAACCTGGTAAAGATTTACTGAATGAGGAAAAAATATAATAGGATGTAATAGAAAGAACAGAGACTAAATCTTGGCTTTGACTCTTAGCAGCTGTGTGAATTTGGCAATTTTTTCTGTAAGCTTCAGTTTTTTCATCTAAAACATAGGCAGAAAACCAGTGTATGCAACAAAGTTGTTGTATGCAAAGATTAAATTAAACAGTTTGTGTGAAAGGTGCTTAGCAATATCTCGCTTCCTTAATTTTAGCATTATAGGACAAGAGTTCTAATCGGTTTTCAAGCCTAAACTTTTCTTATATAGCAGTATCAACTCTGGCCTCCTACATAAAGTAAGATTATGTTTAGTTAAGGAATAATGTGAGAGATGAGGATAAATTCAGGTGTGACAGTAAATATATTTTAACAATATACCCTAGAAACAAGAGTAATGATTCTCAAACCTTGCAATATTACTAGGATCTTTGGTGTAGTTTTTGCAAAATATGGAAGCCCAAATACCAGTCTAGAGACTCCAATTTTAGATATGTGGGAGTAGAACCTAGGAATCTGTGTATTTTAAAAGCCCTTGGCTGATTCCGACATATAATAATCAACTAAAGTCGAGTTTTCTGAAGTATGTGGGCCAGCTACAACTCAGGATGCCTGAGTTCCATTCCATACCCATTAATAATGGAGCTCAGAAATTTGAATTTTAACAAAAATCCGAAGAATATCTTATGTAAACTAAAGTTTGAGAACCACTGGACTAGAATATAGTAAGATAATATTGAAAAGAATTTTTTTCATATTTGGTTATTTAAACTTTTTTCCCTCTATTTTTAAATAAACATTACTGTCAAAATTTATGAATGATGGGTAAAAATTTTATCTAAAGAAAATATTAGTTTTAGGGTAAGTATTATCATTATTATTACAGGTTTCAAAATCAAAATGGGAAATAGAGATAACATTTTAAGTCATCTACAGAGGGTCCACCAGCACAGAAAAGTATATCACCTAGGAAACACCATGCGTTTCACTGTTTCTTAAATTTGTGTGTTTTGCTTTGACTTAGTTTTTTATTATCCATTCCTTCTTTAATTAGAGCAGTAATGCCAATAAATAATATTTGTATACTACTTTACTATTTATAAAAAAACTTCATATATATTAACTTAATTAATCCTTACAATAACCTTGTGAGGTAGATAGGAAAGGTAATATATATTATCACATTTCTGCCAATAAGAAAACTCTTAAAAAGTTTGTGCAATTTGCCCAGTCATAAGTTTGCTGGTATTTATGGTAATACGTGGACTGAAACCTCTAGATGTAAATTTCATGCAAAACTGTGTGAAATTTAAAACTTAGGATTCATTTTTAAGTGCTATGAATCAAACTCAAAATAGCATGAGAGTCTCTGAACTGCAAGTAGTCCATAGTCCTCTACCAACCTGTGGGTTCATCTTACTATATAAGTTCATTGTACTTTATTTATTATATGGTTAAAGAATAGAAGGAGAGTGGAGCTCAATTAACCAAAAACAAATGAACAAAAAAGTGAAAAACAAATAAAAAAATGGAATATTCATCCATTATAATACTATTTACTCTGCCTACTTGCAATTCATTCCCCTATAAGCCCCTTTGCCTCAGTTTCCTCTTCTAAAACATGAAATATCAAATAGCACTTTCAAAGGCTAGCAATTTCATTTTCAACTATGATGGTACTTTAAAAAGTACAACTAAATATACAGCTAGAATAATACTAACATTTGCCCAATCCCTACAAAAATCCTGTCAAATCAACTAGTCCAGTCCACTCATTTTATACATAGGAAGTAGACCTAAAAAAACTTAAGTATGTTACCCCAAATAATAGCAAATTTGTTGTAAAGCTAGAATTAAAAATTATCTTTACATCAAAGTCAATTACAATACACACTTGTGAATAGGCAATGCCTTGTTTTCATAATCAAAAAGAGAAAATGGTCATTTTAAGATAAAAGGAAGAAGGTAATTTATAAAGGGATGTTTAGGCAGGAAGTGGTATCAGAAGCTGTTTTTCCAAAGTAAAAAGGCTCCAAACTTATTTACAACAAAGAAATGTGTATTTTATATATATATATATAACACACACATATATATAATACATACATATATATATATATATACACGAGAATGTTATAAACCAGCTAGACATAATCATTTGTTTAGACCTCAAATATTTGCATAGCTCTGTGCTGAATGCCAATAGAAGGTTCTGGAGGATGAATAAGACACAGACACTATCCTCAAGAAGCTCAAGGTTTAGTTGGAAGATGTGCTTACAAACAATGGCAATACAATGTGAGAGGTGATATTGCCAAGTTATGCATATAAAATTGCTGTGGGAATGTGAAAGAAGGAGCACCTCAATGCCTGAAATGACCGAGCTTAAGTGAGTATCTCTGACAATCCCTGTCTTCTCCATTTCCAATTCTAAATTAAATACTTCCCTGTTTATGCCTAGAATTGTTAAAGAATTTTTTATATACCCTGATAGGAGAAAAGTAGTAAAGTGCACACATCCTAACTTTTTCTTGGGTAATAAGAAATTTCAAAGACTAAAACATATTATAGAATTTTGGTACAGCTACTACGAAATCAGGGCCTGAAACAATTTGCCAATTTTTTGCAAATGTCCTGTTTTTTTGTTGTTGTTTGTTTTTTTCACTAACTCATGCATCAGTTACTTGCACAGCAACAGGGACACAAGGTGGCACTGTCGTGCTGACATTCATTTCAGGGTCCTTTCTAAATGGACAAATTTGTAAGAGACAGAATAGACCCTATTGTGACAACTAACACCACAGTTGTAATACTGGCCGACTGGGTCTACCAACATTAACACTGGCCTAAAGAGGAGTATTTTGCATTTCATGAATATTATATCATGCCTATATAGAAATAGGACATATTCTCTGATGACTTCTCCAAAATGTCATGTGTGTATTCATAGAAATGTCCAAAGGCATAGAGTGCAGCTTTGCCATTAGGAAGTCAGAAGTGAACTGCTTGCTATTGGCAAGGCAGTGGACACGGATCGCCTCTCCATCTAGTGGCCAGTGGAGAGGAGTGGAGCCATAGTAACCATGCTGCACTTCATTCCATTAAAAACAGCCCTTTTACCAAATCACCCATAGGCAATTAAGTCAGTTTGTCTGACAAATGACTATTTTTGGTTTATGGCATTCGTTCAATCATTAAACAGACTCAATAATACATTATGATATGTAGTTAAGCTAAGAAAAATCATCACAAAATTAAAGTGCCTGTGCTCTCTCAAGCCACATAAATGTCCGTTATTCTTCCTTTATTACCCACCCTAACTTTTCTCCATTTATTTGTGACTTTTAGATAGAAAATGCAAGCAAGATTATCTACATATATAGCTACTTAAAATCACAGTCTTTAAGATGAAAAAATATTTTAAAAAGCTTTCTCCTCATTTTACAGGAAGGAAACTGAGGGACAGAGAGATCATGATGTACTCAAAGTCACAAAGTCAGAACAAAAAACCAGACCTCCAGATTTAACCACTTTAAATCCTTTTTGATATTGATTAATACCTCCTGATTCCCCAGGAAATGCTTTTTGTATCACACCATAAAGTTTCTTTCAACATACCAGAAAAATAATTTCTAAAAATGTTTTTTATTCATATATTTTCAGACTAAGGTGATATAAGTGAAACTACTGTGTATAGGCCGTACCACATCTTCATATCCATAGGTATATTTTGAATGTGTTATAAGAACACAATTATTTTTATATTAAGGAATTACATTCATCCAACATTTAGAAAGCGAAAAAGCAAGTGGGGTAGGGAATAGGTGGATGTGTTGGTCAAAATTACTATACAAAAAATGGTTTCAGAAAGCCATTATGTGAAACAACCTGAATTCATTCAGACTGCTAGAAAAGTTCTTTTTGTTTTGTTTCATACAAATTATTTGACTTTGTTTTTAAAAAGGAAACACACGCACACTTATCCAGCTAATCACTTCATCTATTTTAATTCAGCATGTGATGCTGTTTGGGGGCATGTTTTGGGAATGTGTTGTTGGTAAAGCTTCTTATCAAAACAAATGAAATCTGTCCACCAACTATAAAAATCTGCTCACAACTCCGAACCCAAGAATTAAAGGGCAAAAGGTATGAAGGAAACCTGGCAGTGGATGTTCTAGAAATGTGAGATGTTTTGACTTTTTCTTCTATGATCTTCTTTGGTGGTACCACTGGAATCTGTCTTGGAGTGCAGAGGGAATTTATATAGATCTGCTTTAGAGAGATGCAAAAACTAATGCTGTACAGATAAGTCAAATGCTTTTTAACGGGAGTTAGGGAAGAAGTCTTTTTATTTCATTATACTTCTAAGTTTAGAAGCTTCAAAAGCACCAACCCCTCAGCTACCCTCAGCTTTACCCCTGTACCCTCAGCTTTATCCCTTCACATTATCTCAACTTCTCTCTACTTGTTTCTTAATCATCTCTAGTCGTCTCCCTTCTAGAAATGAGGTGAGGGGATAAAGATCACTGTTGATTTGGAGAACTAGAGAAAGTAAGGGCTAATATAAAAAGTAAGTTATTTTTGCCTTACCTAAAGCTAAGGTAATAGGTACAAGTAACCAAGAAGTGGAGAAATTAGTAAATATGGTCAGAACCAGAGTATATTTATTGGGCCAAGAAGAATTTTAATGTGTCCAGTATTTAAGAAGAAAAAAAAACAAAAAATTTATAAAGTCACCATTACAAAGTATTTGCCTAGTCTATTTAAATAATAAAAGAGAGGAACATTTTCTCACTGTTTAAATGTCTTGGTGCCTAAATAAGATATTTTTGTTTATTTAAAATGAAGCCACATAGTTTTCACATACACATATATATCAACTAGAAAAATTACATAGCCTGGAACATTTCTAGTTTTCTGCTAGTAATAGCTTTTTTTTTTTTTTAACTAAGTTTTAAGTTGCTACCTGAACAAACTGACAACATTAATTTTCTCTCAATTACATTCCATTTACAGGAAAGAAGTTCATACTATAAAAGGAATTGCAACAACAAATCACAATTTAATTACAACAGTAATTCACAGAAAATTTTTGAAAAGGTAAAAATGGCAAATATCTAAGCTAATTCAGTAAAAAACAAAAATGTAAAGCCTTCTAAAAATTAGAGAAAATTAAAATTTAAATAATTTTAAATGTTTCATTTTAAAAAGTTTAAATTAAGAATTTTCCCAATAACAAAAATAGTACTACTATGTATAAGATTCGTAATTATTACCATTTCTACATTTTTAGTTACAACCAATTGGGCATCTATCTTTTTGATATCCCATAACCCCAACCTCATACCATAATTTTATATTTGTTGAATGTAAATCCTTACATTAGTAATGTAATATAAAAACTTTCAAATAGATTGACCTTTTAAATGCATAATATGAACATTAAATTCATCATATCTCAAGACACAGAAGTATTCAGTGACAAAATTACTTCCAATATCAAGAAGGTAAACATATTATGCTGTAATTACCACATTTTCTATCAGAGTTTCAAAGGTAAGACTGAATATTCAGAATTAATAAAAAATATGTTCTTCTTCCCTCTGGAAACTAGATGAATCAATGAACTCATAGTCCTTGTTCCTTGTCTCAGTATTCTCACTTGAAAGTCAGTAGCCAGCTTTCCCCAAGTTAAGACAATTACAAAGGTTGCATTGGTTAACTGAACTACAAAACACCAAGGCTAGAGTTTCAGCTGAGTGTCAAAAGATTCCAGAAAGGCAAGCTCCATGTCCTCAAGCTGATTACTTTCAAATGAACTATAGAATTACCAAAAGGCTTGATCCTGGAGTATAAGAGAGGTTATGAAGCCAAAGTCAAGCATAATTTTTCCACAGTTTAGTACAGAAATAGCATGCCACTTATTCATTATTACAGTTGAACAGCTAGAGTGGCAAAAACAAAAAACAAAACAAAAAAAAGCCCTTTTTCTTATAAGCCCTTGAATGCTGTTTCTAACACCGGCTGTAGTGGTTACTACATACATGATAGTAATCATAGATAGCATATTTCTTCCCATAGCCTCATCAGCTTGCCTATGCTGAATTAGAACTAGGGGAGCTCAAGGATATTTTGATATATTAAACATAATTGTCATCAACATTATTTGATGATTAATGTATAATATCTATGTAATAGGAAAACATGAATTCAGGTATTCTCTAGAATATCTAAGATATGTATATTGCCTTCAGGCTTTTGGTAAAGAATAAAATTGATCTTGCTAGTTTATTTGACATTAGCTATAGTTCCTGGAGATTATGCAAAATGCTAGAATTTATTTAAGCAATGGAAATGTATGAAATGGGTTTTTCAAGAAAATTACAAGTTTCAAGTTTTGTAAAATACCTACACACCTATACATGACTTGAAAGCTTGGTGTAAAGTATCAAATGTAAATGCTGACTGTATTAGCACTGTAAATAATCCATAGTAATTGTATAAAATAACAAAAATGTCTTACACAGTATGAAACAAATTATTTTAAAGATTTGGTTTCTAATTTAATGATAACTCTGGCAGGTACACACCTGTCCGATTGCTAGTGTTTATTGTCCTTGATGGAGGGTAAACTGTTTCTATGTAGGTAATACCTGATTTCTATAATGTCCCTGAAATAGTTACACAGCCATGCAAATGAAAATATTTAGAGGTTCTTTTCAGTGCTTTGTGACTTCTCATGGTAACTTAGATCTTCACTGGTTAAGAAAGTGAGGGATAAGGATACTATTTTACTTATGTTTTACAGTAAAACATGTCTCCCACCAAAAATGTAGTTTGTTAAAATATATTTATAAAGTGACCTCCAAGATAAACCAGCTTTAATGTCCATTTTCAACATTTAGACTTCAGAGGCCACCCTTGAGGCTGAAGAACCCAGGAGCTAGCAGCATTCAAAGAATATCAACACCAGTCATTCTTTTGCCAGAAAAGATCACTAGTTAGCAATATTAGCCAGGTGCTGCTGCTTCAACATACCTTGCCAGATGTTGGGGTAACACGTTTGCTCAGGGCCTGAATTTGGCTTCCTATGTGGCGGCATGACCGGCCACTGCTTAGAGTTGGGCAAGTCCATGAACACATCCACTGATAATTTCTATATTTATAGAAAGCCAGAACATGTGTAGATAATCACACAATTAGATATTTATGTAGTGCCAGATTTTATGAATACGAGAATTTGTTAATTAGCACAAGGACTAATCATTAAAATTCAAAAATAGATAAATAAACAGGAATGCCATTTATTTGTTAACATTTCATGGGGAAAGTATGCAGCTGCTATCCTTTTGATGAATATAGGCTTCTGGAGATAAAAATGTGCAGAATAAAAAGTATCTGCAATTTTTGAAACCCTAATGAGTAAAATCCAATAAATCACTATATAGTCTTTATATTAAAAATAATCATAGTGATTCTCCTCTTAAGTTAAAAAAGAAGAAAAAGTTTAAACTGGCATATGCTTAGCATTTGAATTATATGGTCTGGCATTCCATTTTATTTGATTTTATTTATTTATTTGTTTTGAGACGTAGTCTCGCTCTGTCACCAGGCTGCAGTGCAGTGGCACGATCTCGGCTCACTACAACCTCCACCTCCCGGGTTCAAGGGATTCTCCTGCCTCAGCCTCCCGAGTAGCTGGGACTACAGGCATGCACCACCACGCCCAGGTAGTTTTTGTATTTTTTTTTTAGTAGAGATGGGGTTTCACCATGTTGGCCAGGATAGTCTCGATCTCCCGACCTCGTGATCTGCCCGCCTCGGCCTCCCAAAGTGCCCTATTTTTTTTAAAAAAAATCTACTGTTTGGTCCTTTTCAAAGAGCCAAAGCTGATTTTTATCAGCACACACACGTTAAAAAGCACACACACGTCACTCAGTACCAAATTGTTTTAGCTACAGGGCATGGCAAAGCATGAAGTAACTTCTTAGAGCACTTCCTCATGTGGGTGTGTTAGGTAACTGTCTGCTCCAACATTAAAATGAAACACACTGTGACCTGACCAAGACTTTGGGGATCTAAACAGGCAGATATCATGTGCTGATAGGAAGAGCCCACTATAACCAATAAGGCTGATTAATGAATTTTTCTGGCATTCTATAGCGCTCCTGTAACGCAAGCCTTTCAGCTTTCCAAATCCCTATACAGCAGAGTACAGTGGTTTGAAGTTTATTTATGCACATTTTATAATGTCCTTCTGTATTTAGATTGTGACAGTCCCTCCCAGAAAAGGCCAAGATTATTTTTCATACTAAAAATATTTTAGATCTACTGAAGGTTAAGAATTATAATGCAAAAGAAAACATATACACATTCTAAAAATTAAACCAAACATAAAAATGGCTACATTATTACTTGCTTTTATTCTTGCTAAAAGGTTAAAGGAAATTTTCATTTTTCTCTTGAAATTCTCTCCATTTTTTGTTTGCTTGTGGTTAACATAAACACACATAAAGTGAAATTTTTAAAAATATTGTATCTGAAAAGAAGCTGTGATGTATTTATCCATACATGTATGACTTCGTGTCATACATGCACATGTATGCACAGATATCGCCACTGTATGTGTGTACAGAAAAAGAGAATGACTAATCAAGACATAGATGAAAGATTTCTATTGATAAAAACAGTAGAATTTTAGATGGTCCTCACAAGGCTAACACAGAAAATGACAGGTGCATGAGACATGTACACTTTTGACATACAGTATCAGTTTTGAAACAAATTTTTGGGTCACCGTCAGAAATGGCATAAAGTATATATAAAATTGTATATGAAAAACAAAATTATCGTGTACCATATTAACATAAAATACTCTCCTAAAGTTCCCCTTAGACCTTACGGAAAAAAATCTCCGACGGGACCTGATTGAGCGTACTTAGTATTTGTACTACTCTTGGTCAAAGCCAGCCTATCCAGTTTAAAAAAACTGTTCAGGCAAGATAAGCAAATTGAAAGTCTCAGAATTAATTTTTTAAAAGAAGAGGTAAAAAAGTCTTTCAGCAGCAAAAGTTCATCACCTTCCTGAAATA
The DNA here is from genome assembly GCF_000001405.40 of Homo sapiens. NCBI lineage: Eukaryota > Metazoa > Chordata > Mammalia > Primates > Hominidae > Homo > Homo sapiens. The sequence goes on from NC_000003.12 coordinate 115,098,704, forward strand.
ATGGATTTTTAATAAACATTTTACTAGGTTTGAACCTTGAGAATGTGTTTGGGAATCTGCTCTAGTGTCCCAGGTGGGTTAAGAATATTGCTTTATGGACTTCTTTGTGTTGTCAGAGAAGCCTAATGGAATTAAGGGGGAAAAAAGTCTGCCACTTCTGTTAAATAAATAATTTATTACAAAAAGATGACTGTTATTATCAAAGATCTCTACAGATCAGCATCCATTTTCTAACATTGCTCTGTATATGCCGAAACATTTGTGTATCTATGTGACTTAAATTTTATCAAATGAAGAGCAGTTTTACTTTGACAAATCTGAAATAAAATTCCATTAAGAAGTCCATTTCAAATGGCCCTTATTAAAATAATCCTTTCAATTTTGAAGAACACTATTCTGGGAAAACTCTTCAACAATGTCTGCTAGTTTGAAATGTAACTTTTCCCACTATAAAAAAGAAAAAAAGAAATAAAGGAAAAGAAAGCACCACAAAACTGAATTTGAAATAAAAATTATATTATTTATGCTCCCCAAAATGTTAAATGAATACTTACAGTTGTTGTGCAAGATGGCCTGATACACTTCATAGCTTCCACTTTGTAAAAAGATGGCCAGCCCCTCACTCCACCCTCCCCAAGCATAAATAAACAGTAACATACTAAAAGGAAACTGTCCTAGGATAAAAACTGCTTGTTAAGAAAGTTCGCATTCTTACTAACCAAAGTGATATTCCTATAAATGTAAAAGCCCATCTGCAAAATAAAAGTTAGAAAACAGAATACCTTATTTGTTTAAAAATACATCCCCCAGATGCAATGTTTCTATGTGTGTGATGACAAAAATAATTACTCCATTCTTACCCACCCTCAGCAACTACCCCTCACCTTATGTCCAATGGCATTAAATAAACATGCTGGCAAAAAGTATTCAACCTGCTTCAAGGATTTAAACTGTAAATATGGACTTTAAACTTCAACATAAAACAAAGAACAAGAGTCTCACTTTAGTAATACCCACACTGGCACTGCAGCTAAAACTCATTGGCAAATAACTAACAAAACCGAGTTAGCAATAAATAAGGACAACATGATATATAGACAGACAGATGGAATTGCATAAACAGACAAGAAAAGCAAAGAGACAAACATACGGAAGGGTCTGTTTTAAAAGAGTGAAAGATTCTGATTTATTTGGTACTTTAGTGAGAAAAATAGATTTGTTTGTAATTATTTTTAAAGTAACAAAACTGAATCACAAGGGCACACCCCTAAGTAAGTAGGAAGAAAATTAGTAAAGGGTAGGCCTCCTACAGATGTTCTAAATTTTAAGCTAGCACTAGCTCTGTCAAACTTAAATCTGGAAATTAAAATTCAAGCAGGAAAGAATAAAGGCATTGGGGGCTAAAGGAGATGACAGAGGGGGCATTGAGGAAGCAGGATTTTTTTTTTTTTAAGAAAGTTGTCTGCCCTACCTTCTTCCCCAGCGCTGAGTTTCTCTTCTTATAATCGGTGTCTCCCTGGAAGTACAGTGTGAGTGGTAATGACTGCCTGCCTCCCTAATGAGTCCATTTTCCTGCTCTTGATGTTGTGTATATACACACACTGCAACCTACCTTACAAACCACAGAGACGGGAAGAGAGAGAGAGAGCAAGAGAGAGGAGGGAGGGGGGAAGAGAGGGAGAGAGAGACAGAGACAGAGCAAGCGAGTAAGAGAGAGAGAAGAGGAGAGAGAGAGAGAGAGAAAGAAAAACAGAAAGAAACAGAGAGAAAGGCACAGACAAAGCCCTCCTACCAGACAGCAGACAGCTCTCCTTCCCCTATCCAGCAAAATGCAACTCGTCTAATGCAGCAACAGGTTCAGTATTGCCAGACTAACAGAGTGAAAAAGGTATATTCTCTATATCATTATTGCTTGCAAATAAACAGTTTAAGAGCAGCTGGCTCCACCTTCTTTATTTATGCTCCATTATGAGGAATGTATTGTTTCAGTTCTGGCAGTACATGTAATTATCATAAATACATTTTTTGCATATAAGCAGGAAATAGTGAAATGCATAGCTTATTTGTGCAATCTTTTAAATTTATTTTTAATGTGAGAAGAATGTGAACAAATCAGCTCTGACAAAAGCCTAGTAATGATTTTAAAGTCAGAGCAGTCTTAAAGGAGGCTCTGTAAGAAACAGACTCCATACAATAGGAAAACTGATCTCAGACAAAACTGATAACTGCAAAGAAGAAATCATTGCTCAGTTAATAAATCGAGACCATATACAAAATTGCAGACTTACAAAATTACAGACCAAAACAGAATTAAGCTTAATTAAGTAACTAATAGGCTAGGAACCTAGAAGAAGGGAGATTGGCTTCTCATTTAAAGCATCTAGCTGTACAAACATCACAATGCAATGTACTCTGTGTGAACAGGTGCAATGCGTATAGTACATAGTGGTACAACAACAGAAATAAATCCCATAAGAAGCTACCATCACAATCAGGATGATATTTCATAGAATATGGGACTGAAACTACAGCAGTTACCCTTAATCTTTTATTAGGAGGGAAAAATAAAAATAATCAATGCTTCTAAATAAACTTGCCTTAAAAGAGAAAAAAAACAGTTTTTCTTTGTCTGATACTTCTAACCAGATTTTTTCTATATTCTAGTTCCAAAATTATGATGTTATTATACTCCTCACCCCATCACATGCTTCCCACCCACTTTCCCCACTCCTAGGTGCCCTTTCTCCTGTAAGTGATATATTTGCAGCTATAGAATTACAAACATCAGAAAACAGAAATAGTTTTAAGCCACTCTCCTCGTCCCCGAATTTTTAAAAACTAGACTCTGCTTGACGAGTCATATCTCCTTCTAGCACTATTATCTATCTAGACACCCACCTTCCTTAATATATTTCTATACAGTTTGGCTATGTGTCATTTAGATGGGACTTAAGAACATTATAATAGAGGTAAAATTTTCTAAAAAATATTTACACACAAATAAAAAATATAAGTGCATTTGACTTATTCAAACCCTGCGTTTGGGCAACAATAATCCTAAGTATATGAATTGTAAAAATCATCCTTTTTATGTGGTTTTGTGTATTAACATGCTTCAAAAATTAGAATATGTCCCTCTGCATAAACAAAACTACCTTGAAACAACAGCTTCAATTCTTTTGTTTAAAAAAAATCAGTTTTCAATTAAAAATTAAATAACTTTCAATATATAACTTATAGATCAACCGATTCTTCACCTTATTCACAAAAATCTTTAAGAATGTCAAATAAATTTTGGGTCATGTTTAGAATACAGATCAATATTGCTTTAGCTATTTTCAGGGTGGCTAACCTACAGCACAGACATTAGAATGTAATATCTACCTATACATTATACAAGCTATCCTGGGAAAATTTCTAGTAAGAAACCAAGAGTCCAGACCACTCTAGTCTCATCGTAATCCACCAATTCAACCTCTCTAGTGCTGCAGTAGTATATCACCCTCCCAAGGGTGGATGATTAAAAGGAGACAGACACACACTAAAAATGATTTAACAGTCTCCTACTTCAGGTCACTTGTCTGTAGAGAAACTTTTCCAAAATATATTTAGTGTGCCCAAGGTACCAGCATGTATCTCCTCCTCACTATTTGGCCTGGCAGCTCTGCTTTTCTACTATTGCCCTATTGTTTCTCCGAAGCTTTATTAAAATGTATTAAGAAAAATGTCAATTAAAAAAACACATAAAACTTAGAGTTTGACAGATGGATTTGAATTAGATATTTGTATTTTCTGAATTTTTAAAATAAGGTTCTAGGTATTTTATTTTGTTTCATTTTGTTTTTATTCAAGGAGAAGACGTATTTGGTTTCTACCAGCAGGAATCAAAAGGAATATAAAGGACCATGAAGGCTCTTTTCTAAAAAACAACCTGAGAGCTAAATTTAAAAGGAAAACAAATCTTTTGGCTTAAGTGAAAAATGAGACCGGGCACAGTGGCTCACACCGTAATCCCAGCACTTTGGGAGGCCGAGGCAGGCAGATCACAAGGTCAGGAGTTCGAGACCAGACTGGCCAACATAGGGAAACCCCCTCTACTAAAAATACAAAAATTAGCTGGGGGTGGTGGTGCATGCCTCTAGTCCCAGCTGCTCAGGAGGCTGAGGCAGGAGAATCGCTTGAACCCAGGAGGTGGAGGCTGCAGTGAACCAAGATCACACCACTGCACTCTAGCCTTGGCAACAGAGCAAGACTCCATCTCAAATTAAAAAAAAAAAAGGTGAAGAAGAAGAAGAAGAATGTACAACATCTCAAAACTTTTCCCATATCTGTACATTTTACTAGATTCAAAGCACAATAAGTAGTACATTGTTAGTACTTACTGGAATTCAAGATATACTTTCCCTAGTTGGGACTGGAGACAATAAGGTCTGAAGAAATCATTGTAATTGACTACCATACTATGGAAGTTATAAAGTTATTTAATTAAATTGCTTCATGTGTTGATATGTCATGGGGCAATTTGGTTCTGTAGAAAGATCCTAAAGTGGAAGTTAAAAACTGGTTCTGTCCCAAATTGATCTATAGATTCAATTCAATCCCAATCAAAATCCCAGAAAGTTATTTTGTGGATATGAACTAAATGATTCTAAAATTTATATGGAGAGGCAAAAGACTGAAAATAACCAACATAATATTGAAAGAGAAGAACAAAGTTGGACAAATGAAACTACCAGACTTCAGGACTTACTATAAAGCTACAGTAATCAAGAATGCATGATGCTGGCAAAGAATAGACACAGCAGATCAGTGCAACAAAATAGACAGCCCAGGAGAAGGCCCACATATGTATAGTCAACTGATCTTTGACTTAAAAGGAAAAGCAATACAATGGAGCAAAGACAGTATTTCCAACAAGTGGTGACGGAACGACTGGACGTCTACATGCAAAAAAATAAATCCAGACGCAGACTTTACACTCTTCACATAAATTAACTCAAAATGGATGGATCATAAACCTAAATGTAAAATGCAAAATTCTAAGACTCCTAAATAGGAAAAAATCTGGATAATTCTGGGTTTCACAATGACTATTTTAGATACAACACCAAAGACATAATCCATGAAAGAAATAATTGATAAGCTGGATTTAATTCAAATTAAAAAGTTCTACTCTGCAAAAGACACTGTAAAGGTAATGAAAAGACAAGCCACAGACTGGAAGAAAATATTTGCAAAAGATGCATCTCATAAAGGACTGTTATCTAAAACATGCAAAGAATTCTTAAAACTCAACAGTAAGAAAATATTATAACCTGATTAAAAATGGGCAGAAGACTTTAACAGTGACCTCACCAAAGAAGATATACAGATGGCAAATAAGCGTATGAAAGGGGCTCCATATTATATGTCATTGGGGAAATGCACATTAAAAATAACAATGACATACCACCACACATGTAATAGAATGGCCCAAACTCACAGCACTGACAACACCAAATGATGATGCGGATGTGGAGCAACAGGAACTCTCATTCATTGTTGGTAGGAATGAAAAATGGTACAGCCACTTTGGAAGACAGTTTGGCAGTTTCTTACAAAACTAAACACATATACAATCCAGCAATTGCAGTGGTTGGTATTTATGCAAAGGAATTGAAAACTTATGCCCACACAAAAACCTACACACAGATGTTTACAGTAATTTTATTCATAATTGCCAATATTTGGAAGAAATTAATATGCCCATTAGTAGATGAATGGATAAATTATGGTACATCCAGGCAGTGAAATATTATTTAGTGCTAAAACGAAATGAGATATCAAGCCATGAAAAGACATGTAGGAAACTTAAATGCATATTACTAAGCAAAAGAAGCCAATCTGAAAAGATTGCCTTCTATCCACTGTACGTATCTATACACTGTATGATTCCAACTATATGACATTCTGAAAAGGCAAAACCATGGAGACAGCAAAAACTCATTGTTTGCAAGAGTTTAGGGTAGAGAGAGGGATGAACAGGAAGAACACAGGATTTTCAAGGCAGTGAAACTACTTTGTATAATACAATAGTGACAGATAGATGTCATACATTTGTTCAGACCCACAGAAGGCACAACACCAAGAGTGAACCTTAATGTAAACTATGGGCCTGGAGTAATAATAATATGTCAAAGTTGGCTTATCATATGTAACAAATATATGACTCTGGTGGGGGATATTGATGATGGGGAGGCTGTGCATGTGTGAAGGCAGGGGGTATATGAGAAATCTCTGTACCTCCCCATCGATTTTACTATGAAACTAAAATTACTCAAAAAAAAGTCTATTAAACAATAAATTAAAAGAAAATTGGTTCTGGTCCCAGCATTGCCACAAATAGCTTGCGTACCCTCGTCAAGTCATGCAACCATCCTGAGTTTCAGTTTCTTCCTATGCTAAAAATAACAAATTTAAAAGGACGGAATTGAACAGCGTATCATAATAATAGTTATTAAAGCCAATGCTTAAGTGCTTACTATGTGTCAAGAACTGTTCTAAGTACTTTTTATTTCTTAACTCTTTAAAGCCTAACAATTACCCTATAATGTAGGAATTATTTTTAGTCTCATTTTCCAGATGAAGAAAAAAGAGAGATTAAGTGACTTGCCTGAGATCACATAGCATAATAATAATGATAGGATTTGAACCCAGCCTGTCTAGCTTAGAGTTTATGTGTTTAATCCCTACACTATACTGTTTTACCCAATACCTAAAGATAGTTAAGGCCCCATCCAGCCATGACTCTGTGGTTGTGAGTCAAATCTAGTAAGTCCTGATGATTTCTTACCCTATCTTGCTTACTAACACAGAATAGTGAAAATTTGCTGTTTAATACCCATAGCTCTCAATACGTTCAATTTAATGGTACCCAGCAACTCCATCTAAAGTACATACTCTATCATGCATTCTTAAAGGTTGCATAGTTCAAGATTCAAATATCTAATAGTAATGCAAATAATTGTTTAAAGAACTAAATAATAAACACAATAAAATATTTCCTATTTTCTATAGCCTGAGAAAGGAATTAAAAAAGCAAGAATTCAATTGTAAAGGATTTGTGTATTTTGGGGGTTTTGTTTGTTTGTTTGTTTTTTGAGACAGCTCCGTCGCCCAGGCTGGAGTGCAGTGGTGCAATCTCGGCTCACTGCAATCTTCGCCTCCCCAGTTCAAGCGATTCTCCTGCCTCAGCCTCCTGACTAGCTGGGATTACAGGCGCGTGCCACCATGCCTGTCTAATTTTTGTATTTTTAGTAGAGACAGGATTTCACCATGTTGGTCAGGCTGGTCTCAAATTCCCGACCTTGTGATCCGCCCACCTCAGCCTCCCAAAGTGCTGGGATTACAGGCGTGAGCCACCGTGCCCAGACAAGAAAAGTCTGGGATTAGTGGGTCAAAATGAGTAATTGCTACGCTAAGTAAATGACTTTGCCATTGAGGACACCACCATAAAGTTAATTGTAAGTGGCGTAATTACACAATAATTCTTTTTTTTTTTTTTTTTTTGAGACAGAGTCTCACTCTGTCGCCCAGGCTGTAGTGCAGTGGCCCGATCTTAGCTCACTGCAAGCTCTGCCTCCCGGGTTCACACCACTCTCCTGCCTCAGCCTCCCGAGTAGCTGGGACTACAGGTGCCCGCCACCACGCCCAGCTAATTTTTTGTATTTTTAGCAGAAACGGGGTTTCACCATGTTAGCCAGGATGGTCTCGATCTCCTGACCTTGTGTTCCGCCTGCCTCAGCCTCCCAAAGTAATGGAATTACAAGCATGAGCCACTGTGCCCGGCCAATTAGGCAATAATTCTTAACCCTAGTCATCTATTTTAAAATTGTATCCCATCGGGCCCAAGGACAATAGTAGGCCAGGAGTACCATCCTTAAATGGGAAGAGTTGCACATCTAATTTAAATTCTAATCAACAAATGTTTAAATTTAAAACTAAAATAAAGTATTACATGTAAACTAAGTCATTGGAAGTACATTTATTATGGCCAGAGGATTTTATATGCCTCTCTCCCTACAAGACTAAGAGACTCCCTCCCCACCATCGCCACCTTCTTCCCCTCTGCCCCCCAGAGCAGAGACCCTACTTATTAAGCTTTGTTGGTCTAGCATCTGGCAGTACACCTGTAATATATCTGAAGCTCAAAAAAGTTTTCCTGAAAGAATGAATGACTAAACAAACAACAGTACATAGGGTTTATAAACCTTGGTTAATTAAAAACTTAAATAAATTTGAGATATAAGGATGATATAAACAAGTAAATAGCATTTCAAAAAATGTATTGTCACATATTAAACACATCCTTATCTTAAGATCTTGTGACAAACAAAAATAGAAAAAGTAATCTTCAACTTTGCTGTATGTTTGAAAGAATTTCACAATAAAAAGTTGGATAAGGCTGCATGCAGTGGCTCATGCCTGTAATCTCAGCACTTTGGGAGGCCAAGGTAGGAGGGTCACTTGAATCTAGGAGTTAGAGACCAGCCTGGACAATATACTGAGACCGCATGTCTATAAAAAAATCAGCCTTGTATGATGGCATGCACCTGTAGTCCTAGCTACTTGGGAGGCTGAGGTGAGAGGATTTCTTGAGCCCAGGAGGTCAAAGCAGCAGTGAGCTATGGTTGCACCACTGCACTGCAACCTGGGTGACAGAGTGAGACTGTGTCAAAAAAAAAAAAAAAAGTTTGTTAAAAAAAGTATTCATATCTCACACCAGTCAGAATGGGGATTATTAAAAAGTCAAGAAACAACAGATGCTGGCGAGGCTGCAAAGAAATATGAACGCTTTTACACCATTGGTGGGAATGTTCAACCATTGTGGAAGACAGTGTGGCGATTCCTCAAGGATCTAGAACCAGAAATGCCATCTGACCCCACAATCCCATTACTGGGTATATACCCAAAGGAATATAAATCATTCTACTATAAAGATACATGCACAGGTATGTTTACTGTAGCACTATTTACAATAGCAGACATGGAACCAACCAAAATGCCCATCAATAATAGACTGGGTAAAGAAAATGTTGTACATATACACCATGGAATACTATGCAGCCATAAAAAGGAATGAGATCATGTCCTTTGCATGGACATAGATGAATCTGGAAGACATAATCCTCAGCAAACTAACACAGGAATAGAAAACACTGCATGTTCTCACTCATATGTGGGAGCTGAACAATGAGAACACATGGACACAGGGAGAGGAACGACACACACCAGGGCCTGTCGGCGGGTGGGGGGTGAGAGGAGGGAGAGCATCAGGACAAATAGCTAATGCATGTGGGGCTTAAAACCTAGATGACGGGTTGATAGATGCAGCAAACCATGATGGCACACGTATACCTATGTAACAAATGTAGAGGTTCTGTGCATGTATCCTGGAACTTAAAAAAAAAAAAAGATATTCCCATACAACTATCAGAATTTCAATAAACATCATTTCTGAAAAGAAAATTCAGCTTGCCTTCACATTTCATTTATCTATTATTTCTTTCAAATCTATAACATAAGTGTTTGTAAAAGGCTGAAGTTGGCTTCAGAGTACTTCATGGGAATGGAATTGTCCTCTTTGAGGAAAACATCTTGATAAGCTGCTGGAGTCAGAGAGTGAGGCATGAATATTTCTTGTGGGGTTAAACTGTACTACATAAAAAATGAGTAACAATTTGAAGTTAGGGGAGCACAGAGATGAGAGGGAGGAAGAAGAGGAGTAGTGGGAATTTCCCAATGTAAACGTGGCCAGATTTTTTAAAGTAATGCCTAATAATAAATTCTATGAAGTTTATGTTTTGTGATGCAAATATTCTCCTTCTCTCCAAACTTTCAGGAAAGGATAATGTATATTCTACAGTCTTATATAGTAGTAGAACGAAGAATCAAATAATGAAAAAATGAAGTTATTGCCTCACATTCACCCATATACTGTAGCCTTTATAATCACGGCAGTTTCCTAATAAGACAGAAAATATTACCGGAGTTCCTCGGAGTGACCAGTGGTAGAGTGAACAGTGGCCAGTGAATAGTAAATAGCAAAGAGTAGAAAATCAAAAGTATCTTTAATATAGAATGACTCATATCTATATATGAGTCATTTTCCACAATTGTAAAGGAGAAATATGACCATGGGGAAAAGTGGCACGGAGTTTAGTATCTGAATGATAAGATTATTATGCTATTATAGCTGTTGTTACTACTCCTATAAGCTGATCTTAAATGATATGATTATCTTTAGAAATTTAGAAGAGGGTACTTTTGTGACACAATCAATAAATGCTAAATCAATGGATTACAAAATATAAAAATGTTATTTGTAATATCTCCCTGGCTCCAGAACAACGTATTAGACACATATACTATATGAACTCTTCTGCTGCCTGGTCAATCCTCTCTACTAAACAATCTACAACAATGCCAGCAACTATCTTAAAAGTTTCCACATCTACATAATTTACTTATATGTACAGTTTATATTTAATACAAAAGGAAAGGAAAGAGAAACTACAGAGTGCATTCTATAGGAAAAATAAAAGTCACAGAGAAGATATAAAAGGTACATCTTAATTGCCATAGATGTTTGTCAAGCAGGTTGGTGAGATCCTTACTGTTTGACCTGGTGCGGCTATACTCAAAAACTCAATAGTCTTCATATCTTTCCAAAATACAAAAGTTGCTACTATTAATAAGAATGCTTTATTAAAAGTTATCTCTACTACATGTGTCAGAAACAGCCCAACATACACTTTCTCATTTAATCCCCCAACAGCATTAAAAGAAATCTCATTTTCAGATTATACATAAACAAAAAGAGGCCCAAAGACACAGACCTAATAAGTAGTAAACGTCGGGCCTAACATCTATCCAAATAGAATGTGTAAGGAATAGAAGGAGGGGCTTTATAAAATTACTCCAAAAATTATCTAGAATAACAGACTGGTGATATTAGGTAGAAAAAGAAGACTAATGATGGGGAACAGATTTGAAAGGATATATGTTCCCTAGATAATTTCAGAACTTAAAATTTTATATTTGTTTGAGGAAAAGTATATTAAGTATCTCAAAGTAAAATTTAAAGAAAGGATAATGGAAAAGACTAGTATATTAAAAAATAGCTTTCAAAAGCGATGAAAGAAACATACCATGAACCAGTTTGATTAAAGAGTTGGAAACATTAGGCGGGGCACTGTGGCTCACGCCTGTAATCCCAGCACTTTGGGAGGCCGAGGTGGGCAGATCACCTGAGGTCAAGAGTTCGCAACCAGCCTGGCCAACATGGCGAAACTCCGTCTCTACTAAAAATACAAAAAAATTAGCTGGGCATAGTGGCACATACCTGTAATCCCAGCTACTCGGGAGGCTGAGGCAAGAGAATCACTTGAACCCGGGAGGCGGAGGTTGCAGTGAGCAGAGATCACGCCACTGCACTCCAGCCTGGGCGATAGGGACTCTGTCTTAGAAAAAAAAAAAAAAAGAGTTGGAAATATTAATAGCAATCTGTCCAGCAATTTTGAAGCGAGTTATTAATAACGGAGTCAGCATGATAGCAGCCTGCTAAGCCCTCTGAGGCAACAGGCCATAGGGATGATTCAAAATAGGTAGAAATGGTATCTTTTATTTTTAAGAAAAATCACTTAGCCCCAATAAGCTGTAGGCTTATAGCCATAACTTTTTAAAAAATGTATAAGGTCAGATCAAAAGTTTTTATAACATAATCTACATAAAATATCTATCTTCTTCATTTGTATTAAATACAAAAAATTACTTTACAGTATATACATTCAGAATGTATGTCCGATATGTTTGGTAGGATTCTTGAAAAATAAAAATTTGAAATGAATTACATTAAATTTTATTTTACACTTATATTGGGTATTTCAAAATTGTCATTTACTTAATTTTGACTAGTTTATCAGTTTATATCTCAATGAAGAGAATTGTATATAAAACAAATCCGGCCAGGTGTGGTGGCTCACGCCTGTAATCCCAGCACTTTGGGAGGCCAAGGCAGGTGGATCACCTAAGGTTGGGAGTGTGAGACCAGCCTGGCCAACATGGTAAAATGCCATCTCTACTAAAAATACAAAAATTATCCGGGCTAGGTGGCATGTGCCTGTAATCCCACCTACCCAAGAGGCTGAGACAGGAAAAATTACTTGAACCTGGGAGGCAGAGGCTGCAGTGAGCCGAGCTTGCGCCACTACACTCCAGCTTCGGCAACAGAGTGAGACTCCATCTCAAAAAAATAAAAATAAAAATAAATAAATAAATAAATAAATAAATAAATAAATAAATAAAAATAAAACAAATCCTCCTTCATGTTAAATGTCCACACATTTGAATGGATTGAATTTACTTATCACTAAATATGATGTACTACTCTATTTCAAACCGATGGCACTTTACCACTGAAAATGTAATAACTGGATCTTCCATAACACAAATAATACTCCCAACATCACTTAAACCTATGTGAAATTTGAATATCAAACAGTATCTCACCAGTTGAGAAAATTTTATTAGTAATCAACAAAAGAACACTGCCCATAATGAAATCTGTATTAATTACAAAAAGAGTTATGAAAGAAATAAATCATTATTATGAATTTTATTTTAAAAATTAAATGGTTTGGGACTCCAATACATACCTCTTATGATGTTTTATCTGAAGGTCACAAACGGAAATAAACTGCAAACCACTGTAAGCTAATATCTTAATAAAATTCATGTAACTTTTGTCTAAAGTAATTAAAATTCTCTCCCTAGTATTTTTCCACCAATAAATGCACTTAATACCCACTCAATAATTAATTTGCACTTTAGCAGTTTAATCAGATGTTTAAAAATACATATTTACAATAAAACAATAGATATTATAGAATATTTGATAACATAAAATAATTCAATAATTAAATTCTGAAGTTTTCCAGGCACTACATTTTTACTATTACTATTATTTTAAGTTACCTTAATAAGTGTATAGAAATAAATAATAAATTAGAGAAGTTTTAGGTAGTGCTCAGTGGCAGTCAAAATATTTATAGCTCATAAGGAATGGGCACAGAAGAAATGTTACCATGACTAATCAAAACAGATGCTGGCTGTAAATACAGTGTGTATTCCCTGAATATCAACCCTAGCTTTAGGTGTCAAATCAAAATCCATCTCTTAAAGCTAATCAAGAAAAGTGAAGTAATATGTAGTTTTACCACTGAGTTCCTTCCCCTACTCTCAAGAAATTGATTCTCCGATTATTAAAAAGTGTATGCTCCCTCAGTAAAAACATTTAAAACTTTGCACAGATCACTGTTAGTTCTCAACTCCATTCCTATCTAAATTTTAGATTATTACTAAAATTTTAAGGCTCTTCCATGTTTGGGTGTGTATTTTCTATTACATTTTTGTGCTTAGATTTACCTTTTATTTTTTAAATGACATAAAGTATTTATACATATTTATGGGGTATATGTGATATTTTGTTACATGCATAAAATGTGTAATGACAAAGTCAGGGTATTTAGGTTATCCATCACCCTGAGTATTTATAATTTCTATGTGGTTTTCTTTTTTTTTGAGTACTCTCTTCTAGCTATTTTGCAATATAGAATATTTTTATTAACTACAGTCACCCTACTCTGCTATTGAACATTAGAACTTCTTTTGTCTGACGTTTGTACCCATTAACCAACCTCTCTTCATCCTCTCCCAACCCACTCAATCCTCCCAGCCTCTATTATCTATCATTCTACTTTCTGCCTCCATGAGATCAACATTTTAGCTCCCACATGAGTGAGAACACGAGATATCTGTATTTCTGTGCTTGGCTTATTTCACTTAACATAATGACCTCCAGCTCCATTCACATTGCTGCAAATGACATTCCTTCTGTCTTACGGCCAAATAGTATTTCATTGTGTGTATATATGCCACATTTTTTTATCCATTTGTCCACTGATGGACACTTAGGTTTAATTTCATATCTTTGCTACTATGAATAGTGCTGCAATAAACATGGGAGTGCGGGTGTTCCTTTGATATACTGATTTCTTTTTGAGGGGGATACTCAATAGAGAGATTGCAATAGAGAGATCTGTTTTTCATTTTATGAAAAATGTCCATACTGTTTTTCATAGGGGCTGTACTTATATACATTCCCATCAACAGTGTATAAGAGTTCCCTTTTCTCTACATCCTTACCAGCATCTGTTATTTTCTGTCTTTTTAATAATAGCCATTCTGACCAGTGTAAGATGTTATCTCATTGTGGGTTTTGATTTGCATTTCTCTGATGATTAGTGATGTTGAGCATTTTTCCTATACCTATTGGCCATTTGTACGTCTTCTTTTGAGAAATGTCTACTCATGTCCTTTGCCCACTTTTTAATGCAATTAATTGTTTTTACTGTTGAGTTGTTTGAGTTCCTTATATATTCTGGTTATTAGTCCCTTGTCAGATGAATAGTTTGCAAGTATTTTCTGCTGTGTTTAAAAGGTTTAATTTTAAAAAACAGTAACAATGACATCCTACAGCAGTTATGTGTCTCTTGACTTCGATTTATTCACTAAAATAGTTTGCATATAATTGATGGGTGAATTCCTCTTCCAGGCACTCTTTCTATGGTAGAAGTTAAAAACTACAATTCTTAGATGGCTTTGCCAGAATATGAAGCATTGGTATAAGATCAAAGGCAAAGACAGACTTCTTCCTGCCTCCTGCTTTTGGCACTGAAAATCTCAGCAATGGTGCTCCAACAGGGTCTGCAGCACAGAAGTCTTGGTATCTAGGCTCTGGACTGCTGATTGCAACACTGGTTATGCAAGTGCAGAACAATGCAAGTGCAGAACAACAGCAGCCACCACAAGTGACTGGAAGCTCCAGCAGCTGTTACAAGCACAACAGAATTCAAGAAATTACATATTATCCTGGATTCTTGAAGTGTCCATAGGAGTGCGGACACCTGGCTTCCTACAGTGCAGTGAGATTGGTGATTCCAACAGCCACAGCAAAATGTGGAAGCAGCAGCAGCAGCGGCAGCATAATACTTATAGGCTCTGGATAACAAAACTTTCCCTTGCTTTCTGAAGGAATTTGTTACTAAATAATATTGCCACCTTCTATTTGCTCAACCAGACTTTCCAACACTTTTGTAATCAATTCCCTGGATTGAAGTTCCTCTTTTCTGAGTCATTTCTGTTTGTCTTGGCATTGATTAATATAAGCCCATACTCCAATATATGCATAATTATTTATAATATACATACATTACTACAATACATACATTACAGAACATGCAGCAATAGATATTTTAAAAGACTGAGGTAAACAAGAAGTAAACATTCTAAATTTGGGGCTCTGTTTATCAACAATTTTAAAACATTTTGCTCTTACTGAAGAGCAAACTGCTCTTGATGCTCTTACTGAAAAACATTAAAACAAAAATTTGAGTAAATATGTGTCATTCTCTACGTCTTGGCTTGGTTTTACACTTTGTAAAACAGTCATCTGAAAATACAGTACTATTTTCAGGTTACTTAGATATAATGGTTGTCATGGGTGCAGAGGAGGGGTGGTGGTAAGTTGAGGGAGAAAGCCTCACAAAATAGTAAATTCAAATGGAAGAAGAGTATCAATGGCTGTGCTTACTACATCAAAATAATCAATTTTCAATATTAATGGCCAATTATGTAAAATACTTTGTTGAAATTTAGCTAGTAAATTTCCATCTTCAGATGAATAAGTCATTCCTATAAACTAAGAGGTGTAGCGTTTTATTTTTTAACAAAAGGATTTTAAAATCAATTTAAAGATTACATTTGAAAGATCTTAAAGTAAGTTATAACATTATGTTCCAAGTTTTACAAAATATGCCAATATATTTTTGTACAATTTTCAATGTATATAGAAACTAGTTTTACAAATACATTGGTTTTTGGCAAGAAAATCACATTGTAATGAAAAGAATTACAAACATTCAATATGAAATGTTTTCTCCATAACCACAGGTCCTTCAAAAAGCAGTTACCTTCTCACTCATTATTAGTACTACTACTTTAAAAAGACAGATCGAATATGTTATTTTTCAAAAATATACATTAGAGCGCATAGTATGGACAGTCACCTGTCATAACAGAAAAGGTGAGTAAAATTAGAACCTTGTCATTCTGTAAAAGAAAAATGCATAACTGCCATAAATTTCTTATTACTTCTCAATACTCTACCACTGGATAACCAGTGAACCTCAAGTGGTGCAAATGATATTCATGGCCCATTCTCCATCTTATTACAAAGTATCATAAAGATTCCACTAAAATTTTAAGATTCTTTCACATTTGGTAACATATTTTTGACTACATTTTAAAGCTTTAACTTAAAAAACGAAAACAAAGTGACCACATCAATGATGTCCTACAGCACTTGTGTGTACTTGTGACTTCAATTTATTTGTTAAAATAGCTTGTCTGTAAAAGACTGAAGGGATTTCATGTGTAGAAGTAGTTCTGTAACCTGCCTCGGCAAGCTTTTTTCTATTCCATTCAAATCGACCACTCCAATATTCTAAAACTATGTAACTATAGATAACATAGATTTTCAAGAACACACTGTTTTACTGTAGGGCAGTATTTTGCTGTTTAGCCACAATCTTCTCCAGTGATTATTTTGGTGATTTATAACAACATAGTTCTTCGAATTATTTCAATTGAGCCTAGCAAATATCATTGGATGAAATGTTAGAAATATTGGTACTTTCATTTAACTATATAGTAAACATTCCACACTGCATAATTTGTTCAATACTTGTTTTTGCAAATCTTCAGCAATGTTTTCTATACATATTCTAGCAGTATTTGCTGACAAATGTGATAGTTTGTTGCCATATTATTTTTCACACATTATTTCAGCCATTATTGCTCTTGAAGAACAGTGTTTCCAATGGTAAATATGTTTGTATTTTAATATTGTTTTTTAAATCCCCAAAAGTCTTCTAAATATTAATTTAATGATTTTGTAAAGTCTGTACTGAGTCTCACGTGACATTAAACACTGCTTGATTCATGATCTAGGTAGTTAGATTTTAATGCCTTACCAATGAAATGGTCTTCCACCATCGCACACCATACACTGAGGGTGACATTCTTTTTCAATGACAGTGAATATAAATCATTTCAAATAGACTTCTTGATTATTATTTTTGATCAATGTTCAAATATTGCTAAATCATCATTGTTCTTACTTTATAATGTAGTTTACAAAGTGTTCATAATATGTTTCAGGGATGTTCTTTTTCAAATGGGCTTGGATTATTAGTATCATCTTTTCTATGCTTTTTTTCAGTCAGTTGTCTGTTTTGTAAGAGTTAGTTTTAGTTAAACTAATCTGTCACTAATCTGTGACTCCACATAACAAGGCACAGATAACATTTAGTAGCTCCAACTCTTTAACAAACTCCACTCTCTCCCATCAGGATGTTCTGTTTAAGTAGCAATGCATGTAAATAATGCTCTGATATTGCCCAGCTCTATCTGGGCATATTAACTGCTGGTAACTTTAACTTCTTAGATTTTTTAAATAAAAAACACAAATAACAATTTTTATTTCCTCTCAAACCCTAACGCATCATCTTGCATATTTCTTGGAATGCATGGACTTTATTTTTGAGGCCACTATTCTACAGTATGGGCTTTGGACTCAGATTTTAAAAATATTTATTGGATATGTATATTGAAGCAGGTTACTTATCCATGAGTCTCATATAGCTTATCTATAAAATAAGAATAACTATATCACAGAACTGTTTGATAACTACATTAGATTGATAATAAGAGATAACATTTTTGTGAACATACAAAGTGCAAGGCTCTAGTCAAAGCACACAAAATTTATTAATTCTTGAGTATGGCGTCTACACACAATGAGCATTTGATAAATATTAGTTTTCTTCCCCAGGAAAGAGAGAAAGAGAAAGAAAGAGAGAGACAGAGACAGAGAGAAAGAAAAAGAGAGCAAGAGAAAGAGATTAACTGTTCAAAATAAGCAATATTTATTAGGGCAAATAAAGTTGGTTGTTTACATGCCTATCTCTTCCACAAAAACTCAAGGCTCCTAATCATGCTGTAGTCATCATGTATCTGTATTCAAAGTACAAAGATCTGAATATGTTATGTGCTCAACAATTAAATAAATATTGTTAAGTGAATATACATAGGGTGACACCATAGCTTGCTGTTTATTATCTGTAAAAATTACAGCAAATCCAGCATTGACAGGATGTTCAATTAACTGCACAACCATTGCAAAACATGCTATTGTTTTTGCCAAATTCTATTATACTGTTGCAGAAAGTGCAGAAAGGGTAACACTCTCCAGAGCTTTTGAAAATACAGTACTCTTTGATTATTTATACTAACAGATGGGACATAAGGTATGGATAATCCAAAAATAATTTGTTTGGATTTTGAAATGTGTTTTTATATTTATATCTAAGCATTGGCATACCTAATATTCTATAAGAATGAATGTACTTTGAACAACAAAACTAGAGTATGAAAAGCTGACTTAGAAAAAAGTTTAATTTTAACACAAATTAGTTTCTCTTATCTTTTTCCTTAACACTTCTGTGTAACCTATACCACTTTGATTACTCCAGCTACATAGAACTCACCTTTTCCCAGACCTTATCAGATTATCTAAATGTTGGTTTCTACAGGAATATTTTCTGTATAAAGCAGGGAATTCTCATCAATAAATCTGAAATCAAGTTTGCCTAGGTATTATTAAAAAACAATCAACAGAAATATAAAATATGTCATCTGCTTCAAAATTAGGAATTTTTATTTTTAATAAATTATTTTATTCCTTTGTGTATTACAATCCATTAACGTTCTCCACAACTCTTTTTTTTTTCAGTTAAGAAACCAGAGGTAGAGAAAAACTAGCTTGTGATATACAATATTTAGTTATGTAATCCATCTGATATCTCACAAGTTTTCCTGTCAAATTCATAGTGCTCTTATTTTTTTAAAAGATAAATAAATTATTGTGAAATGTTTAAATATAGTAAAAGGAGGAATAATAAATGCAAGGCATCACTGTGTCTCAATGAGAAACTGAAAGATTAGCTTTTCATCTTACTCTTAATTATTCATGGGCCATACACTCTATCTCTAGGTGTATGGGAAGCAGAGTGCTTCGGTAGAAAGAACGTGGCTTTTAAAGTCAAAGCCTGGATTTGAAAGAAGCTTCCACATTCACTACCTGTGACCTTAAACAAGTTACTATTTTTCCAGAATTTCAGTTTCCTCATAGCAAAGAGAAGGCAAAAGTATTAAATGAGAACATATATAAAGTGTTTAACCCTTAGGAAATATTCATTACATAGTAATCCAATTTCTACCTTTCTTCCCAAACCAGAAATTCTCAAATTTTGTTGTATTGTAGATCTCTTTTTTAATTTTTATTTTTTAGAGATGGAGTCTCACTCTGTTGCCCAGGCTAGAGTGCAGTTGTGTGGTAATAACTTAACTGCAGACTCAAACTCCTGTGCTCAAGCAATCCTCCCACCTCAGCCTCTGCAGAGTGGCTGGAACTACATGTGTGTGCTACTGTTCCTGGTTTGTATTATAGATCTCTTCTAACTACTAATGATTCACATCAATAATTGATACTTCTCTATCACATAAGTTATAAAATTTCTTCACATAAACTGTTGAATTAAATCCTCACTGTCACTCTGTAATCATACTTTAACCTAGGTCAACCAGCGCACTTAACATTCCATCAAGCCTGCTCCCCTATTTTAAAAAAAAAGTCCTCACCAGAACTAACCGTTTTACACTAAGAAAGTGACATCTAATGATAATAAATATTATTAAACTATTTGGCTAGGTCTAAATAAGAGCATATTCACATAAATATCACTAGTGGTTCTAGGACCTAAAACTTTACCTGGTACAAATTTTTTTTTTTTTTTTTTTTTTTTTTTTTTTGAGACGGAGTCTCGCTCTGTCGCCCAGGCTGGATGGAGTGCAGTGGCGCGATCTCCACTCACTGCAAGCTCCGCCTCCCGGGCTCACGCCAAGTACAAATGTTTTTGTAACACTTTCCTACAAAACAGCTTATGAAACAAATTAAAGAAAATATGCTCACATGAAAACTTTTAATAGCTATTATGATTATTTTAGAAAGAGAATGACCCTCAAATAAAATTTAGTATATTTTCTATTCTTTAGTAACACATTAAATTTCCTCAGTATAATTTATTTCTTTGAAAACGATATTGAAAAAATAGATAATGTCTAAAATACTGGGTGGTCCATCAAAACAAGATCCCCACTTAACCTAACCAACTCTGAGAGAATAGTTGGTTAATCACTTAGATTATCCTAGGGCCACCTCTCAAGACCACAATTTAAAAATCATTTATTGATCCTTTACCTTCTCTTGAATATGTTTCTTACTAATTAGAAAGAAACAGAGTATAAAAGTTAAAGGTATGTGGGTTCTGATTCAGATTGCTTAAGTTCAAATCTTGGCTTTACTTTTAAATGAATTCCTTAACATTATTAACCCTTTTGTACTCATCACTAAAATGAGGGAAATAAAAGGACCTATATTATAGAGTTTTTCTGATGATTAAATAAGATAATTCAAGTACTGGTAATAAAAGTTGCTAAAATTTATCAGGCATTTTACCATATTCAGACACTGTGCTAAATATTTTATACATATTATCTCATCTAATATTCACAAAACCCTGTATAATATATCTTATAGATGAGAAATGTGAGATCCAAGGTGCCACAACTCATACACCAGAACCATGATTAAAGCACACTAATCCTACAGTACAAACACTTAGTGCTAGGTACATGGGAAGCTCAATGCCTGGCACATAGAAAGCATTCAATAAATTTTAGCTTGTGTTTATTTCTATTTTATCTAAATACCAATTTATTTGAAAGTTCTAAATTGAATAAAGTAGTTCTCAAATATTCAATTTCACGATTCCGATTCCTTGCTTTTACCGTATCCAACCCCACTGTTCTAAAACAGAGAGAGAGAAAGCACACAAGCAAGAGTGTAATACTGTGAATTACTTATATGACACTTAGCTAATAAAAGTCAATAGATGGAGGAGTCTTTAATGCATATTACTAAATGAAAGAAGCCAATCTAAAAGGCTACATACTGTATGATTACAACAATATGATATTCTGGAAAAGGCAAAACTATGGAGACAGCTTAAAAAAAAAATCAGTGGTTGCCAGGGGCTGGGGGAGAGAGGGATGAATAGGTGGTGGACAGATAATTTTTAAGGCAGAGAAATTACTCTGTATGAGTCTTATAATGGTGGGTACATAATATTATGCATTTATTCAAACCCATAAAATGTATAACGCCAAAAGTGAATCCTAACATAAACTATGACTCTGGGTGACAAAGATGTAGAAACGTAGTTCATCAATTGTAACAAATGTACCGCTATGCTGGAAAACGTTACTAATGGTGGAGGCTATGTATGTGGCGGTAAGATGTGTTTAGAAAATCTCCGTATCTTATGCTCAAATTTGCTGTGAACCTACAATTGCTCTAAAAAAAAATCAAGTCTATTAAAAAATTTATCATGTAGTAGATCTTGTATAAAGTCTCAACAAATATCAAAGAATTAACATCATACAAACTCTCTAAGCACAAGCAACTTAAGTAAAAAATTAACAGAAAAAAATTTTTTGAGTCAATAGGAGTTATTTTGGGAACAAAACACAAAGTAAAGACTTGAGGGGATTGAAACCATCAGGATGAATGTAAGCCAGACGGGGGCAAATTGCAGAATGTCAATTGCCTTAACCTAGGAAAGGTAAATTTCTAAAAATGATACCAAATGGTTAAAAATCACTAAATGAGGAATTGAAGAGAATTTCAGGTTAGAAGGTTGTAAAAAGTGAAATAATTGTCCAAAGTCACCAAACTAGTTCACGAGAAAGCTGGAACTAGAAACTCATGCCTCTCAATCCAGTGTTCTTTCCACTGTAACAGATTGGCACCATAGAACATGTTTGACTCAAGGCAGTAAATTAAGTACACTGAAGAAAAAGATAAGAAAAAAGTGATAAAATGTAAAGTCTTTGATTCAGACCCAAGTATTACAGCTGCTATGGCAAAAAATAGCCACAATTTCTAAGTGACTTTAACCAGGAAAAAAAGAAAGAGATGAGATTTGAAAAGGAATTAAATTTCAAGAATCAACAGGAAGTGATGACAGCCTTCCCTATTTGGTAGTTTCAGGCCTGAACTTTTGTCATTAAGGTAATAATTCAAAGTGCTTTAATGCCTGGACTGACCACACTAAATAACAAAATTATAACCCGTTGAGCTACGGTCAGTTTTATAAACTGTGCCTAAAATTTCCTGAGTTCAAATCTGATTATAAATGGGCAATAAATTCATCTGTTCATTGGGCTGATTTACTTTATTTTCTGGGTGCATTTAAAATCTTTTTTATTGTGGAAACTTTCAAACATACAAAAAGAGTACATAATAAATGATTCCCTTGTACCCATCATTCAATTTCAATAAGTCACATTTTGCCTTTCAAATTTTACCTATTGCCACTAACATCCTTTTTTTTTCTGGAGTAGCTGAACTGATTTAAGATGAAGGAGGAAAAATAAAGGATGAAAGGAATATTTTCAATCTGTTATTCATTGATACTCTAGCCAAAAAGATTCCAGATTATGAGGCAAAAAGAAAAAAAAGACAAGAGTCAAGAAGTCAAGAATAATGAAGTTGAAGTCTACTAGTGAGATGGTCTAGATGCATTACTTCAAAATAAATGGAACTATTGTCTATGGGGGAGGAGATTTTAACAAACTATTTTCCAATAATTTAAGTTTGACCAAAGAAAAATGGCAGAGAATGTTGTAAAGCTTTATTGATATTATAGTTTATAGAGATGGGCTTATCTTCAAGGAACATAATGATTAATCACATCATGTTTAAATTCATATAATCGCTAACTTACCATATTCCAGTAAGCACCTATAGGAAGAAAAGTTTGCACTATTCATAAAATTTCAATATAACCAAGTCTTAGTTTATTCTTAAAGCTCAAAGTTCATTTTTATTTCCCTTGAAGTCTGTGTTTTTCTGTACTTGAGAAAGATCTCCTCATTTTTAAATTTGGAAATTTTAAATTAGAATTTAAAGTGACTTTGGTCAAGTTCAGTGGTCTTTTTTAAGTAATATTAATAAAATTACATATTTCTGGACCTCGAAGGATTCTTCTGAGCATTTAGAATCATACTGCAGTTTCCAGACTAAACACTTTAGCCAGAGACTATGAGAAGCAGGCAATGAGGCAAATACAAGCATATCGAAATTATCTTGATCGAAAAGAAAATGTGGATAATGTTATGCTGAACCGTCTTAATTTCTGTCATGAAACAAAGGGGAAAACTTGGCAAGTAAAGATGAGAGATGAATTTCTAATGGGGGAAGAGGAGTTAAAACTGAAATAACTAGTGAGGCCCAACTAAGGTTTTAAAGCATGAATCTAAATACCAAGATTTTTTTTTCATATTTGGTTCCTCCCTATTGACTTTTGATTGCAAGACCAATGGACAGCGACCGTCTAATTCTCTTCTCTTATCTTCCTTAGCAAAATGTTAGCATATAGCTGTCTCTTGCTTCCCATTCTCCCTTAAATGTAAAAAAGTTCCTCAACCAAAAAATTACTTCCTACATTTCATATAAATCAAGTCAAATTATGTCTCCATACAATCCTATATCTCTGAGGAGATCCTTGGTTCTCCATGGATTTTAATTCAGTCAAAATGTGTCACAGTCCCTCAGTGCCTTTATTTGTCCTGCCTCTCCATAAAATCTAAGCTCTGCCTTCCCATTGAACATTTGTCTATGAAGACTTTCTATATATTAATCCTATTCTTCATCTTTCTGACCATACATTCCTAAAATGGCTACACATCCTGATTAATACATTTCTATGCATTATAGATTACCCATTTTAAGAACCTCAGTGTCCACCAATCTTCATCACCTACTGGCAATCACCTTTCCACAAGCCTACATTGACATAGCTATATCATTTACCAACTACTGCTCACTCCTCCAAGTTCTGCCTTGTCTACAGACTAATTTTCAGAGTCAAACACCCATTCTTGAGGCAAACACGTATTAATCAAAAGGTCAGAACCCAGTAAATTACCTGGAAACTCCAATCACTGTGAAAAACATGCATGATTTTTCATAAAGGTCTAATTATTGCTCTTTTTTTCAAATGATCTGTCACAGGCTAGTTCTGTGTGCCATGCTACAATACACTTCTTTCTATGGCATCCACTTGAGCTCAGTGAAGATTCTTCTATTTTCTCAAATTTACATTCCCCTAAGATATTTGGTCAGCAAAGATGAGAAATATTAGGACTCTCATTAAACATTAGCACTTTGCCATTATCTCTTAATATTTTTGTGGGCACCTATTTTCATTCCATCCCAGAAAAACTTCTTTCCCTATACCATTTTCCCTTCACATAATTTAACAATATCTAGAATAGCACATTAATAGTTGAAGATGTTCTAATGTATGAATTATTACTAAAACAATTATTTACCTATCTGATCATATAATTTATTTTAGAAATCAAAATAGACACAGAGAATAGAAAACAAAAGAAGTAAGCATTCTAGAAACACAAAAGAATTAAGAATGGAGGCAGATTAAACTGTCAAAAAGTGTTTCTTTACTAGAAACACTAAGCAGAATGCTTGTCAATTCTCTGACAAATATACCACTTTATAAGCTCTGGACACCTGAGAAGAGAAAATGGCAATGACTGAGGGAAGTTCCTCCAGCCAAAGCTAAATATGACCTAAGACCTGACATATGTCACATACACAATCAACTTACTGCTCAAAACCAGTAAACACACATCCAATCCATCATTTCTAAGGCACTTGTACATATTTCTCAACGGTTATGTACCTTATATTCTTTATTCCAAGACTGGCTTTGATGCTAATGTTTGACTTCATTCTCCTGAATAAAAATACGTGGCACTAGTACAGGACTGAGGAGAGGCTGGGGTTTCTAAACTATCAAAAAGTTAGTTCTGTTTAAGGATAACTCAGTAAAGATTTCACAAGGCAGCATTCCTTAGCACTACCCGAATAAACCCCACATAAACAAGCTACCAAGCCACCTGACCACTCTTGGCCTTTGTTTCCTCATCAATAAAATTAGGATAATAATGTTAACTACCTCATAGTGTTGAAAAGAACCAATGAGTTAAAATATGTTAAGCACTTAAATGTTGTCTGGCATGTAGCGATATTAAAGAGCTAAAAATGGTATTAATAATACCTGAATGGATGTTATTTCATTGAGTAATTTAGATTTATACAAAGTTGCTAAAAAGTAATGTAAGTGAATAGTATATGTTTTATGCTTTGTTAAATTAAGAAATTATGATATCAACTTAGAGTCTTAAATATACTGAACTTGTAGTAGTATTCCAATTGAATTAGTTTGAATATTATAAGGTTGCCATTACATTTTGTTGGGGCTTTTTTCCTTTTTATCCCACAGGTTGACATCATCAACAAATGTAAGCCAAACAAAGCAGTTACTGTAAGAAATGCTTTAAATAAACCTAAAGACATTTTAAAAAATACATATGCATTGATAACTAGGTTGTATATATAAAAAATGAAGCATGTTCTTTCTAAATTAAAATTTAGCTTGGGGAGGAGTGTCCGACCTTTAAGAAAAAGATAAAACTCAAGAAACAAATTGTAGGATACTTGCCCAACCACATATAAGGACTTACTGTAAAGCTGTACTAATTAGTAAAATGTGTTACTGGTATAGAGATAGTCCAATCAACCAAGAAACAGAAAACAGAGCCTATAAACAGGCCCTTGCAGATACAGACCCCTGACAGACAAGAGCTGGCACGGCAAATCACTGAGGAAACACAAGAACATACAGTAAACATAACTGGAAAACATGTTTCTCTATAGAAAATAATTTAAACTTTTATGTCTAAATAATATACAAAAATCAACTCAAGTGAATGATTTAAGAAAATTAAAAAGCATGAACCATTAAAGAAAATCTGTATGAGAACATAAAAATTAAGATTTTTATGTTTATTAGAATACCCTAATAAACATAGGTAAACACGAGTTTACCTATAAACAAACCCTGTGACACGAGTTTACCTATAAACAAACCTGCACATGTACCC
This sequence comes from Homo sapiens, assembly GCF_000001405.40. Taxonomy (NCBI): domain Eukaryota; kingdom Metazoa; phylum Chordata; class Mammalia; order Primates; family Hominidae; genus Homo; species Homo sapiens. The sequence continues at coordinate 115,125,014 of NC_000003.12, forward strand.
CTGAACTTAAAGTTTTTTTTAAAAAAAAAAGGAAAATGTGATATACAGGCCAGGCATGCTGGCTTATGCCTCTAATCCCAGCACTTTGGAAAACCAAGGCAGAAGGACTGCTTGAGGTAAGAGTCTGAGACCAGCGTGGGCAACACAGTAAGACCCCACCTCTCCAAAAAAATTAAAAAATTAACTGAGCATGGTGGCATGCGCCTGTAGTCCCAGCTACGCAGGAGGTTGAGACAGGATGATCCCCTGAGCCCAGGAGGTCAAGACAGGAGTGAACCATGATTGTGTCACTGCACTGCAGCCTGGGCAACAGAGCAAGACCCTGCCTCAAATAAAAAAAAAAAAAAGAAAATGTGACATACATACACAATGGAATACTATTCTGCATTAAAAAGAAGAAAATTCTGTCATTGTGACATCAATGAACCTGAAAGACACTATACCAAGTGAAATAATCCAGGCACGGAAAGACAAATACAGCATGTTCTCACTCATGTGGGAGCTAAAACAATGAAACTCATAGAAGCAGAGAGAATGGTGACTACCAGGAGATGGTGGGTGGGGAGATGGGAGAGATGTTGGTTTAAGGATATAAAATTTCAGTTATACAGAATGAATAAGTTCAAGAGATGTACAGTATGGTGACTATAGTTAATAACAATGTATTGTTTGCTTGAAAATTGCTAAGAGAATAGATTTTAAGTGTTTTCATCACAAAAATGTAAGGTAATTGCATGTTAATAAACTTGATTTAGCCATTTCATAATGTAAATGTATTCTAAAATAATGTTGTACATTAATGCACATAATTGTTGTCAATTAAAAATAAGTTAAATTTTTACATGTAGAAAATAAAGCTAATAATCATTTTTTAAAATAATACACACATACATACAAAAAGAATGCCCTAAAAGAAGTGAAAAGACAAGCTACAAGGGAGAAGAGATAGAATTAGTATCTATAATATAAAGAACTCATGCAAACAATAGAAAAAGAATCATACAAATTTTTAAAAAGAAGAAAAATAGGTATAAGAACCACCATTTCACAGAAGGAAAAGACACATGTAGGAAAACACACATATACATGTTCACAGCCTTGTTTCTTGAGAAGCAAGAAAGTTCACATCAAGACTACTGTAAGGTATTTTTTATTTACTCAGGTGGCAAAAATTAAGAAGTCTGACAATACCATATGTTAAAGAGAATATGGGTCAACAGGGATATTTTATACAATGCTGGTGGGAGTGTAAATGGCTAATATCATTTTAGGAAAACAATTTGACAATCTCCTGCAAAGTAGACCATTTATACATCTTATGACACAGCGATTCCAATCTCAGAATATACCTAAAAGAATGTCCTCCAAATGTCACCAAGAAACATGTGCAAGAATGTTTATTCTAGCACCATTCACAGCCACAATAAAAGGGAAACAACTCAAATGTCCATTGGTAGAAGAAAGGATAGATTATACTGTGGTATAGTCACAAATATTATATAGAAGTGAAAAGGAACCTGTAAGTTACAATTACACACAACATGGGTGAATCTTAATATCTTAATGTTGAAAAAAAAGCAAATTCTAGCAGATAAATACAGCAGGCTATTAATGAGTTATTGAGCTACAGCTAATAAGTTAATAATTGGTATTATTTGTGACCATCTGCAGGAGTAATATTAAAAGTTTATAAGTGGTAAAGCTGTATTATTTATGAAAAAATGGAACAATAAGCACAAAGTTTAAGATAGTGGTTACTTCTGGTTAAGGGAATATAGGTGTAAGGAAATGTGAGTTTTGATGTTCTAATACTTTGGTTAGGTCTTGGACTCACAGGTTATTTCTTTTGATTTAAAATAACAAACGAATGAATGAATGAAAGAAAAAAGGAGAACACATGGAAAAATGACTATGAACTATGTTATGATTCACCAATTCTGTGTGCTTAAAGTCCAATTCTTTTAAATGACAAATGATTTAGTAGTACTTCTCACACTTTCTGTACATATGAATGACTTGGAGTCTTGTTAAAATGAATATAATTATTCTTTAGGTCTGAAGTGGAGTTTGAGATTCTGCATTTTAAGCTTGTAGGTGGTATGAATGCTGCCAGTCCAAAAAAATCTATGTTATCTATCTAGTCATTTCCAAATATGAGGTGCTGGGGAAGCTAAAAAGATTGATTGAGACTATTCAAGGCAACAATAAACGTCAAGCCTTGTTAATGCAAAAGTTTAAACAAGTAAGCATTTTTATTCAGACAACTTAAATCTTAGTCTTTAAAAAAAGGAACAGTTCAGGTGTGGTAGCTCACATTTGTAATCCCAGCACTTTGGGAGGCTAAGGCAGGCAGATCACTTGAGGTTAAGAGTTCAAGAACATCCTGACCAACATGACGAAACCATGTCTGTACTAAAAATACACAAATTAGCCAGGCACGATGGCATACACCTATAATCCATCCCAGCTACTGGGGAGGCTGAGGCACAAAAATCACTTGAACCTGGAAGGTGGGGATTGCAGTAAGCTGAGATCATGCCATGCACTCCAGCCTGGGCAATAAATCAAAACTCTGTCTCAAAAAATAAGAAAATAAAAATAAATAAATTTTAAAAAGGAAAAGAAAAAAGCAAAACCACCTCCATTGTTTTAAGACTGAGCATCAGTGATTCAAGAAATTCAGAGACTTGAAGGAGAAATCAAATAAACTCAACTGACCGCTGAATAAGATAACAGGTGTCATATTTTGGAATGTTTATTACAATGCTAAGAAATAATTATTTGATTTCTGTCTATTCCAAAGAGAAGCAGGTCTTGATAGAAGACACCAGAATTCAGAGTTTATGTTGAAATGAAAGACACTTCTTTCCTAAATTATAAGAAACTGAAATAATAAGAATTAAGAGAAGATCGCTTTGGTTTCTTGAGGATTAAAATAAACAGATCGCTTTAATTTCCCATTTCCTTGGTGTTCTCTACAAAACTGCAACTAGCAATTGGGACAGTGATCACTGGTGGTTAGAAATTTTCTTGAATAGAGAAAGAAAAAAACAAAATTAAGAGATGACTGGCAATGACATATGCATCCAAGAATGCACGCAACATATATTAATAGGTCCTACTACTCGAGTAACATTAGTATTATTGAGAAACAGTGAAGAAATATATTTAAAAATATGTCTATCTCAATTGCTATTAATTTCACATTTAATAAAGATAATCAATACACAAGTAGAAGGTGAAAACGGGTTTGATTTATTACAATGGATTCATTACGTGAAAGATATAATATCAAAGAGAATCAGTTGAGGTAGTTGTTTCTACTAGCCTTGCCTAAAGTCCATTTACAGAAATGAAAAGCAAAGATTGCCTGCATGTAGTGACTCACACCTGTAATCCCAACACTTTGGGAGGCTGAAGCAGGTGGATCTTCTGAGGTCAGGAGTTCAAGATCAGCCTGGCCAACATGGTGAAAGCTCGTCTCTACTAAAAACACAAAAATTAGCTGGGTGTGGCGGCACATGCCTGTAATCCTAGCTACTCGGGAGGCTGAAGCATGAGAATCGCTTGAACCCAGGAGGCGGAGGTTGCAGTGAACCAAGATGACGCCACTGCACTCCATCCTGGGCAACAGTGCAAGATTCTGACTCAAAAAAAAAAGAAAAGAAAAGAAAAGGGAAGGGAAGGGGAGGGCAGTGGAGGGGAGGGGAGGGCAGTGGAGGGGAGGGAAGGGGAGGGGAGGGGAGGGAAGGGATGGGAAGGGAGAAAGAGCAAAGACTGTTGTTCCTTTTAAGATCTACCTTTGGCAGGGCACGGTGGCTCACGCCTGTAATCCCAGCACTTTGGGAAGCCCAGGCAGGCAGATCACGAGGTCAGGAGATCGAGACCATCCTGGCTAACACAGTGAAACCCCGTCTCTACTAAAAATACAAAAAATTAGTCTGGCGTGGTGTCGGGCGCCTGTAGTCCCAGCTATTTGGGAGGCTGAGGCAGGAGAATGGCGTGAACCCGGGAGGCAGAGCTTGCAGTGAGCCGAGATTGCACCACTGCACTCCAGCCTGGGCGACAAAGCGAGACTCCGTCTCAAAAAAAAAAAGATCTCTCTTTTCAGCTTTCTTATAACATCATGTCTACTACTGGAAGAATAGAGAATCTGAAGAAGATTAAACTAGTTAAACATATTTTTTAAGAATATTTATGAAAAAAGTAAAAGTCAAATGATTAGGGAAAGAAAATTTTAAAATGGAGACATACTTTGGAAAAAGAGTCCGGTATAATATATTTAGACTTAGACACATTCATCCATTCAATTTTCTCCAAACCAGAATCTAGGTATCTTTAATAGTACCATACGGTACAGACTATAGTGTATTAAGATGATACTTACGTTTCTTATTATAAAAGAACGTCTAAGTTTTTAGACTTTTATAGTGGTGTTATCAACCAACTAATGTAGGTATTTCCTAATACTCTCACAACCAAAAAAATGGCCAATGGCAAATTAGGTGTCTGGTAACTGAAAGATCATAAAGATTTTACTATTTCAAAGCATTTATGCTAGAGTCACTTTTAAGTACAGCTATAAATTACAAGGAGATAATTTCCAATGAAATATAAAACAGATTACAAAGCTGTATTTAGCTGTCTGTGGCCATTTAATAAGTCAAAACATAATGCAGCATTATCATTACGTCAAGATGTGACAAAGGCCCAGACTTCCCACAAAATATTCCTGTCTCTATACTAGAATAAGACATCATCAGAAGTACCTGAATAAAATCTCCCCTCAATGACCAGAAAAATAAACGAAGAAATTTTAGAGACCTATCTTAGACTTTCAGCGATTAAATGTACTCACACCTTCCATGCATTCCACTCTTCTATCTGTTGGAGGTTTATATAGCTTCATCAGTAATATGTTCTATTGCTGACATATCAAAAGGCTTAATATCACACACACAGCTTCAAATATATATATAAATGTCCATTAAGTGTAAAAAATGCCTTCAGATTTTCATTATCATCACTGTATCCACATCATGCTTTTTCAAGCACTTCAACATTATTTTACTTGACTCTCACAAAGATTGTGTAACTGAGGAAAATATCTCTATTTTAAAGATAAAGATCCTGAGATACAAAAGTCAAGTGATTTGCCTATAATCATATTCTATGCTGACTTCTAGGGTTTTTTTCATCTAATATCTTTAAATTCTTTCATTTCTGCATTCTGTTACTTTGTTGAAATCATTATTGTACCTGTAATCTATTAGGTCAAATCAGCAAATATTTATCAATCAACTTCTATGTGCAAGGACTCAATTAATGTGTAATTGGCATAATTAACTTATTTGTGACATCAACAGGGATAATATTAAAATTATTTAACAACTGACACAAAAGGTACCAACTAAAGAAACTGAACACTGAACAAAGTGAAACATACGCTCTAAGTTTTATCAAGGGATATCAACTGCATGTCAGCTCTGATGTGGGCATGACCAATAGAGTCTGATTTAATCACAAACTACAAATCATTTGTAGATGTTTATTTGGCCTGAAATGCTAGAAGAACATCTGAAGATTTAAGAGAACATGTAGAAAATTCTGGTAGCACGTGGTCCAAAATTAACTTAAAGAAAATGCAAATATAAAGGAAAAAAACAATCTGCTTGGGTGCCAAGATTCAGAAATATGAACTCATTACTACCAAAACTAGCCATAATATTTTAAATTATTTTAATTTCTTTTTTTGTTTGTTTTTTGAGATGGAGTTTCGCTCTTGTTGCCCAGGCTGGAGTGCAATGGCACCATCTCGGCTCACCACAACCTGCACCTCCCAGGTTCAAGTGATTCTACTGCCTCAGCCTCCCAAGTAGCTGGGATTACAGGCATGCACCACCATGCCCAGATAATTTTGAATTTTTAGTAGAGACAGGGTTTCTCCATGTTGCTCAGGCTGGTCTTGAACTCCCGACCTCAGGTGATCCAGCTGCCTCGGCCTCCCAAAGTTCTGGGATTACAGGAGTGAGACACCGTGCCCGGCCAATTATTTTTATTTATGCATTTATATTCAAATATACCTAATTTTAATAAAATACATAAGTGGGGTTTTGAACATGTTTTTAGCACAACTTTTCTTTTCCTTTATTTCTTGGGTATCTGCTCCTCTCCTTTCATATTTCCTCTCATAAATAGTTATCCATTTTTATAACTTAGTATGCATCCTGCTACATTCTTCTTCCTTTAAAAATAACCCTACTATAAGGTAGATATATACATATGCAGATATTACTTATAAATATACATATTCAAGGATCTTTGTAATTATTTTTTAAAGGCTGAATATTATACACACTTTTCTATACCTTGCTCTTCTCACTCATAAGAAACTCCTGGAAATTCTTTCAGAAGATCTGAGATAGCTTTATTTCACATCATTTAATGACAGCATAATAGCCCATGGTTGAGTTTCCATTATTTACTAGCATTACCTTGTTAATGGGATTACTATTTTCTGCAGTTTTACCACTACAATAAAGTTACAACAACCTGGAAACCAAAAAATACACATGTTCTTAAATATTGCTACCTATATTTCTATGGAATATATTCCCAAAAATGAGACTGCCAGGTTAAAGTATTTGCAAATCATATGCAAATTATAATTTTAATAGGTTTTTGGTAGTCTTACAAGACTGCATTTTATAACAGGTAGAATATATCACATTTCCACCAGTAACAAATACTGTTAAGGTGCAAAATGGGAATATACTTTCATTTTTTTACATGGAGATCATCAGTTATGCCAGTCCCATTAATTTAAAAAATCCATCATTTTCCAACTAAGTTGTCATCTTTTTCAGAATTTGCCAATCATTTCCACTGATCTATTATGTATGCCTAGGCCATGACCATGTTGTTTAGATGAGCTGACTTTGTAATATGTTCTGGTATGTGTAATACAAGTCCCTCCTCATTGCTTTTTCATATTTGCTTGCCTTTCGTTACCATTTAATCTTCCAAGTAGTTTTAAAATAACACTGTTGACTTCAAAAAAGAAAAAAAAATCTCCCAAGATTCTAATTGGAATTGCATTATATAATTTATTAACTTTGAAATAATATTTTTATTGTTTTCCCATCCTAAACCAGTTTGTCCTTCTCTTAATCAGATCCTGTTTTATGCATTTTAATATCTTTGTTTTCATATAGTTCCTGTACCTTTCTTGAAAAACTTATTAATAGGCATTTTGTAATTTGTGTTTCTATGGAAAATGGAATAATATTTTCCCATTGGGAAAAAAAGTCTCATAGATGCCCAAATTCCTCCAGAGCAGAGTTGTTTTCATCTTATCTTTTATCCAACTACCTTATCAATTTTTCTTACTCATTTTTCTAGATTTTAAAATTCAAGTTTCTATAATTTTTAGACCATATATCATCAGCAAGAGACACCTGACATTCTTCTCTACAAATGTTAATGTTATATCATTTACCAACTGTATATGATAAAGCCTCTAAAATAATGTTAAATAATTGTGATGGTTCCTTGTTTAGTTTCTGTTGTTAATTAAAATGTTTTTAGGATTTAACAATTTAGGCCATGTGCAGTGGCTCACGCCTGTAATCCCAGCACTTTGGGTGGAGGCTGAGGTGGCAGGATCACTTGAACCCAGGAGGTTGAGGCTGCAGTGATCCCTGATCATGCCACTGCACTCCAGCCTGGGTGACAAAGTGAGATCCTGTCTCAAAATAAAAGACAAAAAAAAACCCCCAAAATTTAGAATACCTTTTGCCATTTATTGAGATAAACATGATTTTTCTCCTTTAATTTGATGATGTAATAAATTAAATTGGTATATTTCCTATTATTGAATCATGCTTACATTCCCACTTAAAAATATATTTTAAAATAGCTACTAGTGAGTTATTATTTTGATTCACTGTTAATATTTTCTAACATTTTCCTTAGAATTTTTTAATATACTTCGTAAGTGAAATTATACATTTTTTACTATATAATCTTTAACAGAATTAGATATTAAATTATGGAATATTTTGATATTTTTCCATGGCCTAGAATGATTTAAATTACATCAAAATTATGTATTCCTTACGTTTAAGTGACAACATCTGGTCAAATTTCTAATCTTTTCTATGCTAAGTAGCATCTGCTTTCTACTTCTTCTTAGGTCAATTTTTATCATTTGTATTTGACTAAAAGTCCTTTTATTTCTCAAGGGTTTTAAATTTGTCACACAGCTACATTCTTATTTAACATTCTTTTCATCTTCCAGTTTTTTCTTCTTTTTCATTTCTAATTGTGTACTTTTGTCATTCTTTTTCCTAAAGCTTTATTAGTGAATTAAAATTCATATAACATAAACTCACCATTTTAACTGTATTAAAGTATATAATTCAGTGACATTCGCAAGGTTGTATAAATATCACCAACTACCTCCAGAACATTCTCATCACTCCAAAAGGAAACCCTATACCCATTAAGCAGTCACTCCCCATTTTTCCTTCTCCCAGCCCCTGGCAACCACTAATCTCCTTTCTGTTTCCACCTATATGCCTACTCTGGACACTTCATATAAATGAAATCACACAGTATGTAGCCTTTTGAGTGTGGCCTCTTTCACTGAGTATGTTTTCAAGGTTCATCCATGTTATAGTATGTATCAGTACTTCATTATTTTTTATGGCTATTATATTGTATAGATATATCATAGATGAATAATTTTTATTCCTTCATTCAGCAGTTGATGGATATGAGTTGCTTCCACTTTTTGGCTACTATGAATAATGCTGCCATGAATATTTGAGTATAAATTTTATGTGAACATATGCTATCACTTCTCTTGAGTATATACCTCAGAGTGGAATTGACAGGCTCATTTTCTTTTTTGCTTTATCATCTTCACAAGGAGTTTATGTATCACATTGATCTTTCCAAAGAACCAGCCTTTAGATTTATTTCGGGTTTTACTATATGGTTTTTCTATTTCATTACTTTCATCTTTCTAACAATCTCCTCATCTTCTATCTTGTATTATTCTTTATACTAACTTCTTAACATTAGGTTATCTTTATCTTCCCTCTTCCTTAATAACAAAGGCCTTTAAGGCCATCAATTTTCCTCTGACAACTATTTTAGCTAATTTTCATTGGCTTTTACAAAAAATATTTCCTTTTCATTGCTTTCTAGGTGATTTCCTCTTCATCCAAAAGATATCTGGGAATGTTTTAATTTCTATGTAGATTTTTTTAACCTTTTAGAAAAACTGTTAAAATTTGATATATGTTAGCTTACAGTCAGAGAAAGTGCCTGCAAAATCTCTGCTCTCTAAAACTCAGTTTTCTTAGCAGCCAAGTGCAGAGATGCTCAAAAATATTTAAAGAATGTCCCACTGTAATTCCTATTATTCACGTTTTGATTTCTAGATCTATCCTCCAAATCTCATCTTTTTTTTTTCAATATTTCATCATGGGTTTTTTTATATGCTTGGATACATTTCTTGCATTTGGTCTTTTCATTCACTAATTCATATTTCGACAGTGACTATGCTCTCCCACAAATCCTGAGTTGTTCAAATGAGATATATTTAATATCTGAAATTATTTTCTGTTCTTTGAATTTCCTTAAGTGCTCCCAATTTTTGTTTTCAAATTCAGTTTTCATGTTTTCGCCAGTAGTCCTAGTTACCTGGAGTGTGTACTCTGATTTTCCTCTCTCACTTGCTATGGGTCTCCTTAAATGAATTGCTATTTTTCGCTAACTCACTGGAGCTCAGGTCTGGTTGCCAGATTATCCTAAATGGCAGAAATATCACAGGTGGTGAAAAGCAAAGGTAAACAGCCTGTCAGTTCCCTGCAAAGGCACATGGACAAAGAGCTCTGTTGTCCTATCTCTATTTCTTTTTAGCCTCCAAAGACAGAGAGGACTCCACCAGGACATTCAGCTACTTTAGCTTTTTAGCAGCTAGCGACACTTCGGTACTTAAAATGGATAAATATTGATCTCCTCCTACAGGAGTTCACAAACCTCTAAAGCCCAAGCTCTTCGTCCCAATGTCTATTGCTTTCTCATATTTACCCATGGACTCCAGCACCATTCTCCAGTTGCTTGCCCAACAGAAGGCAGAAGTTTCAAAGCAGTGTTTCTCTGCCCAAGGTGTCATGACAGTTGTTTATAGGTCACAGCAGCCATTTGCTTCAGAAAGCCAGGCAGCTTGGAATTGGAAGTGAAGAAGATAACCATATATAGCTACTTTGTTTTCAAAGTCTTTAATTTTAAAAAAGCCTGGGGTGGAGTGGGGTATGTGGGTGTGAGGTATGTCTGGACTTCATTATACTTATTCCTAAGAATCAATAGTTTCCTCAGAAAGCATATTCCTGAATATATAAAATGACAATATGTTCTTCTGCATGCTCTTTAGATTGAAATCGTGAAATACACTCCAGCTATTAATCACTTTAAGTAAGCTTTAATGCAATCCCAGTTTTAATTATTCCAGGACTTAATTATCTTTTGTTTTGAAAACAACTTCAAATCAATTTGCTGTAGTTTCAGTTAGAAAGACAAATTATGACTTTAGCCAATCAAGTCTGCCAATGTCTAACAAGTTTTATAAATATGAAAAAGTATGTCAGCTATTTATATAGGAATTACATGTGTCCCACATGTGGTTTACACGATGTTACCCTCTATATTGTTCACAACCCAACTACCTTTTTTGCTTTCTAGAAGAGCTAAGTAATTATATTATATTATCACTAATATTACAGTGTTTAACTGGATAAGACTTCTAAAAACTCAGATAATTAGGTAAAATAATTAAACCTATTTTTTAATTGTGTGAAATTTTATGAACATTCCTTAAGAATTAGAAAGCTCATATAAAAAGTTCAAAATCTCAATTGCAATCTATGAATTACAAAGCATAGTGTGCTTTGTTTGTCCCTCTATCCAGATAGGAATCATATAGGATATGAAATATGGGTTTCATCCTTAAATCAGCAGATAATATAATTCTGTGTACTCTATTCAACACAATATCCTGAATTGATTGTAGTAGATTTGCTTTACCACTGATGGGAGATACCTGACACATTTCTTTTCTGAATCATGGTAAATGTAATTTTATTGGAATTTTTGCCATGATAGAATTTCATTAAGTACCTAAAAGGATAGAAAACTGTGAGCATGTACAAACACGTTGGGTCTTGGAAAAGTACAGGGAAAGTCTATAATAGGTAATAATTTTAACAATGCTAAATTTGAACTCCAATAAGTAAACGGATAGCCTAGTAAGGAAAAATAATTTTCCCAGGATAAGTACAAAAAAGCCTGATCAACATTGAATTCCTCCTGTGTGCCAGATATTAGGCTAAGGACTAAAGCTATAAAGATAAATAAAGCATGGTACCTGTTGTTAAGGAACTGCAGTTAAGTGTACTATAATTCTAAATGTTACCTTTCCTAAGTGATGAATGTCAAAGAATTTAAGTTATAAGTTAAACTGCATATAAAACATCACACTGAATCAAACTCACTTTACACCAGATGCACCCATTTGTGCATTATAAAACTCATCATTACACATATAAGACAGAAACAGAGTAATGCATACCCCAAATGACAGAAACAACCATTTATTTTTGGCTCTTATACACTTTGGTAATTCGCTTAACAACAAATGTTGAGACTGTAATGTAGAATATTTGAATCAGAAGAACCTAGAATTTTGTTCATTTTTCCCATACTGCTTTTCAGCTCAAATGACCCCTTTAACACAGTATTGCCTTGCTCTCAATCCCTTTCTAAAACAAGAAAGATTATTAAAAACATGAGTGTTCAAAGGTATTTCTCTGAGGGTCAGATGTATAAAGGACAGTGAGATACAAACAACATAGCTGTTAAGAACACTAGGTCCCACAGGCTATCAAAATTACAAGAACAACAGAGTACCACCGATGATGAACTTGAGGAGAAAGGTGCCATGCACTAACTGAATGTTGATAATTTTTCTAACTTTAAAATACATTTTTCAGTGATGTATCCATTTGAATTATATAAAATGATTATTATACTATACTTCTTAATGCATTAAAAATAAGAGAATAAAGAAAATATCAGATATTCTCATAAGGAACAGTAAAGACACATAAGGGATGGTATAGCAATTTCATTATTCTTTGACTGCATTCAGATGATACAGCTTATATTTGTAATATAGCTTAACAGTAAACATTATCTTTTGAAAACTTTTTAAGTTTTTAGTACCTTGTATACAAAGGGTATATGAGTATGTATGTATACATGACAGAAGTACTTGGTTGGAGGTCATTTAAATTATCTGCAATAAAAATTCACTTTAAAGGTTACTATAATTCCTTTTAATTCATGCATGCTGACTATACTAAATATAATCCAAAGTCATGTACACTGACTTTACCTGAACTGATTTGAGACTACTACTCTGATAGAAATGCATTTACACTATCAGATAAAATTAAATCTTTCTTTCAGTATAGTGACAAATCAAGGAAAAGTTAAAGTACATAATAAAAGTCTAGACTGTATTCCACTCAAAGCATAGTAGAGGCTGTTTTAAAATTCCATGAATATGGGAAGGAGGAGACAAAAGCTAAATTCCATAATAAATAAAACAAAATTAAGGTATATAATATTTTACCCCTCATATCCATCACATCCTCAAGAAAGTTAACAGATGTTTTCCTGTTTTTGAAAATTGGACAGCAAACAACAATGTAGATTATAAATGTTCCTAGAACAGTGATTTCCAAATTGGGTGGCACACAGTAGGCATTCAATAAATGGCTTACCACACAGATTGTGCTACATTGCATATCTTTGTCATGCACTTAAACTTACTGCCTAACTCTAGGTTAGGACTGATGATCATGTTTTTGTGCCAAAAGCATAGCAGTCTTTGTTTTCGAAACTCTCAGTGACCCATATTTAAGCCAGCTATTGGTTTCTGAAACAAATGTTAAGGGCACAAAGAACAAACAAACACAAAAGCCTTCCAAAGTCATAGGATTTGCTACCCTTTGAATATACTGTTTCTAGTCTCCCTCACCCCTATTTCTGCATGATACCTGGTTCTTGGTTATTCAGTCGGGTTTGATTTAGTTTTCCTTTTTGACCTCTACCTTCCCAGAACTTTCAGTAATACTTCCTTTGTCCTGCTCCTACCCATGATTTCCAAGGCCTGCTTTAACATGGTACCCAGCTCCACTGTTGCAAATAGAACTAAATCAGGCAGCAGTTAGAGTCTATTCATTGTACAACCTTTAGACAAATTCTCTATCATCATTTTTAATTCTAGACTGAAGAGTTATATTTTAAAAAGATTCTATCACAGCAACCATTGTTCCTACTTACAACTCTTTCACCTTGTACCCTTCTCTAGAACCTTCTCCAAATCTATGCCTTTCTGAAATAAAATTGCCATTATTAATCTGGGCAAGCACTGAGTTAAAATCGTCCCAGAATAGTGGTCTGATGGGGTGGTGATTAAGAGCTTAGGTTCTCCAGAGCTGTACTTGAGTTTAATTTCCCATGTGTTTTATACTTAGCTGTGTGACTTTGAACAAGATACTTACCCTTTCTGAGCCTTCGCATATCTTTAAAATTGGGATAATAAAGGTACCTGTCTCACGGGATTGTGGAATTAACTGAAAAAATGCAGATATAACCAATGACTGCAACAAAGTAAGATCTCAGTAAATGTTGGCTACTATTGGTGTTGGTGGTGTGATTAGTATTCCTGTTTAATACAAGGATAGAATGCATTTACTTTTCACTGTGCTTCCCACTAATAATTTTGCTAGTCTTTTTGGTACTCATGGCTTTAGAAGAGTTACAGTGATTCTTCAATATGTATACTGGGTTTCAGTTAACACTAAAACCAGCTTCCCTTAAGCACATTTAGAATATCTTTTCCATTATTTGCATGCATTGAAGCATTCATACCACCTTTTGGGTCCAACAATTGATCTAAAATTATTCTTACAATTTCTCCTGATTAGCTAGATGTTTGGTAAGCTAAAATAGCTTACCATCATCTAACAGACAGTATATTTTGGCTACGAGGTGATTTATAAAATATTATATGATCAGTACCAGGAACATCTGGAGCTGTGGGTGGATGTGAGGAAATGAGAGGATTCAGGATAGTATAGCTTCCTGCAGATTGCTGTTTCCATCTAAGGTAATGTTAGATAGCTTTAAGCCTTTCACTACCATTCATACTAGCAAAAAGGATGAGTCAATTAAACAGAAACTGAGAGTAAAATTTTAAATTAGAACTTTGAGGTTATCATTAAAGATATATCAAGTAGGTATATAGAAATTGTATATAGTTGTTTCTTTCAATATATAACAGGACAATATTTGCAAAGTCTTTTCTAACAGATTCTTTCCTAGTCAGATTTCTTTGCCTACCTTATCTTCCTTCCTATGTAAATCTATCTGTGCATGGATATAATATAAGATCAAAAACTAAATGCAGTAGTTAAAAATTACCAATTTTATAAGATCTGCATGGAGGTGGTTCCTGATTACTCAATGTATACCTATGTTTTGCTTAGAGAAGAGAATCACAAAACCAAATTTATCTTTTATCTTTGAATAAATGTATCTATCTATAGATTTTATAGAAATAGAAAAATGTGAGTTGATTCATTCTGTTGTTACCTGCATCCTCAATTTTAACAACTTTATGCTGCATGAAATGCAGAGTCAAGTTTACAAATTCTATTAGCAATACACCTTCCTGAGTTAAGATGAGTTGGCAAAGTATTTATGTAAACTAATAGATTTATTATACTTACCCACTATGAAAGATTATAAGTACTTAATATCATATATCTATACTTTACTAGTGTGCTATGTTAGAAAGCATGTATCATTAAAATTAAACTTTTATAAAAGACTAAAAGTGGAAAGCAAAGTCAAGTATTTTACATATACTGTTTCTAGGTGTCCTAAGCATCAGTTTCAGTAACACTACCAGAAGCTAAAATAACAATTCAATTGTTGAAGGAAACAAACTCAGATGATTAGAACTGAAAATGACCCTAAAAATGAAAAATCTAAGGTGCTAAGGTGGAGATCCGCATAGATTATGCAACATGCCATAGATCATGTAACTAATTAATGGCCGCAGTAGAACTAGAACAACCTCTACTAACTTCACATCTGAGATTTTTGACAATGTATAACAAAGAGTTGAATTTAATATATGAGAGATTGAAAAGGTAGATATTGTCCCCAAGTTAAAAATCTTTGGATGTAATTACTTCTACTTACTTAATTTTATATTCCTAAGACGACACATTTAAAATAGCATAAAACTGTAAAAACTCGTTAGAAGTAATGAAAACTACAAACAAAATTTATGCTTTATCTTAAATCAAAACCATGGAAAAGGCCATTTTCTTTTGTCTAAAGGAAGCCTGAGATTTACTGAAAATGTGTGTGAGTGCGAGAGAGTGTGTATGTGTGTGTGGTGGTGGTAGGGGTCTTTGTTTTGTTTTGTTTTGTAAATTGTTAGAGATTGTTCTATTAATAGTTTCCTTTTGTAATGGTAATCTGTGCTCCAAAATGAGGGCACACTAAAATGAATTTCTGATAATTTATAAAGCAGTGAAATACAAATACATTTCTAGAAACTTACTAATGACAGTAAGAAAATGGGTACCAAGAGTTTCAAAATTAAAAATCAAAATCTTTTTAATATTATGTTGAATTAGAACATCTTTTTAAAAGCCAAAAGTAATTGAAAAGAGATTAAATTGGTACACTCAACTCTCTAAACTGTGTGTATATTTTTCTTAAAGTGCATATCTGTGAGCTGACAGTAAAGACAGGCTGGCTGCTTTGTTTGACTATAGTTCTGTTTACCTCATACTGTCAAGAATGGATTTTGACACAGTATTAATATTGCTATTTTTATTGATATAATTAGCACTGCTATAAATAATTTCTTGTGCTGCCATATGTAAGTATATCATTACAATCAGCAGTATTTAGTGCTTTTCTTATATGACACCTTGAAAACAGACTGTTGGCCCAAAGAACAAAAGTGACCTCATGATATGGGAATCACTGAAAAAAACATTGCCCTGTCAATAGAGACTACTGTTTTGTGTATGACTTCACTAAACAAACTAGTTTATATTTGTTTGAAACTAAAGTTTCTCACCAATCTGCTGTTTCAATTTCACATCACACCATATTGTACCTAAAACAGGCAATCTGGATTCCTGTTGCTACTTTTTCTTCCCCCAAACAGCTCAGGAATGGGTTTGAAATACAAGGCTTGAATACATAAAGCAAAATAATTAAGACACCCAAAATTCAGAATGGGTGGGTGAAAACAAGTACACTTGAAACCATTTGTGTAACTACTAGTGGGTGGCCCACTGTGAGTTTTTGATTATATGAAAGCAAAATCAAAACATATTTTATCTTGCCTCTAGATCACATCAGCTGTGACAATAACCTCATCTGGACCTTGAATAGTTTGTTCATAAAACAAAGTAGGGTGACTGACCCAGTGCATATTCAACACAGAGTATGAAGGCCAAAAGAAAATGACAATACCATTCAAAACAAGTTTGTGGAAATTTTAGACTAGTATATTAAAACCTTTCTTTGTCTCTATCACTTGACAGATGGTTAGCCTTCACACAGCCTAGTATCTCTGGCAAAGAAATGACTGTGTCTAGCCAATAACACCCCAAATTTTGACTTAAAATGCACTGTACACATGCTTAGACTTACCTTACAAATATGAATATTAATAAACTTAGTCATGCTTACTTTATTACTATAAAAACTTGATAGATGTCAAGATTTCATCTTCTGCCGTTAAAAATACCTTCTTGAAACTCAACTATCTTAGGTGGATATAAGGTTCCATGAACTCTGCACTTCAGATTTCATTCATTTCACAGGTTGGCTGGTAATCATGCTTAAAAAAATACTTCCAAAATAACACTTCATCCCAAAAATATAAAATTTATAGAAATTTAATTAGCTTGTGTTTCTATGCTATCCATAGGAAAGTTTTGGTAACAAAGTGGCTTAAACAAAATCACCAGGGAACCCTGAATACACTCCATGTCAAGGACCACAGGCAGGACTGGAATTATTTATCCAGTATTGATATGTCTTTATTCAAAAACTGCTCATTTATAAATATATACTCACACACACATGCAAACACACATCGATCAACCATCCTTACCAGAAAACAGGAAATGGTCTTACTTTTTAACATTCAATTAGCCATTCTTCCATTTTGCTCTTTAAAAAAAATTCAACTGAGGCTGGGCACGGTGGCTCACACCTGTAATCCTAGCTCTTTGGGAGGCCAAGGCAGGCAGATCACGAGGTCAGGAGATCAAGACCATCGTGGCCAACATGGTGAAACCCTGTCTCTACTAAAAATAACAAAAAAATTAGTAGGACGTGGCTGTGCGCGCCTGTAGTCCCAGCTACTCAGGAGACTGAGGCAGGAGAATTGCTTGAATCTGGGAGGGGAGGCTGCAGCGGGCCAAGATTGTGCCACTACACTCCAGCCTGGCGACAGAGCAAGACTCCATCAAAAAAAAAAAAAAAAAATTCAACTGAAACAATGTATTCCATTAGTTATAAAGTCTGTTTCCTCCTAAATCTTCCTATTTATAGTTTTCAGATGCTGGCAAGTCCGTATACAAATAGCCAGAGGCAATCACAAACTGCTCTAAAGTGCATTAATATGTACCCTTCCTGGAAGAGGCTGATTATGTTCCAAATTAGCATAAATAGAGATCTAATGTAGGTATAAGCGTGACAAACCCTCCACGGCACAGGATGGGAGGGCTGGAGGAGGGAGGATTGTATTAAAAAAAGTTATTCCACTTAAGAACTAAACTTGTATTTGGCTAACAAAGTAAGACTCACCATGACAGATGGGAAAAAAAATTAAAAAGGAAAAACTGTTATTTGAGAACTATGAACTAGGTTTTGGAAAGGTGAGACACCCACTACTTGAAGTCACAATCTCAGCATTAAATCATATACTCATTTAACCAGGTACCAACTTTCCTTCTATTAGAAACCCAGGATTTTTACACCTACAGACTAAATGATTAAAGTATTGCTAAAATCTTCTGTAATGTTCCTCTTGCATTACAAATAAGTCTATTAAAGCAGAAAAGTGCCAATCAAATGCTTTTGAAAAAATGGTTTAAATAACAAAGCATTTTTTGCAGGTCTCTCCTCTTTAATGTCGCCTATAAACTAATTACAATAAATTTTCACCTTCTCTTGATAAAATCACAACTGAAACTAGGCATGGTGGCATGCACCTTAGTCCCAGCTACTAGGAGGCTGAGGCAGGAGGGCGGATCACTTGAGCCCAGGAGTTAAAGTACAGCCTGGGCAATAAAAGGAGATTCCCATCTCAAAAAACGAAAAAGAAACCCAGAACTGAAAAAGATTTAGGTACTTGATTTTTCAGATATGTTCCTAAAAACAAATCCCAACCAAAAATTAACAGATATTCTAGCTTTTGTTTTACCATACTTTGCTAACGGGATAATACTATGTAGGAATTTTATAGTAACTTTCAAGACACAAGATTTTTTTAATATAAAGCAACGTTTTATTAATTTCAAAGACATTATTAAAATCATGAAAAAAATCCCTATCTGTTAAAATTACCAACTGAAATATATGGAGAAAGTTTCATGACAATAACAAAAGGTACAAATAAGAAATAAACTAAGATCTTTCTTTCCTATCACTGCCAACTGGTAAACACCTTCCTCCTTCTCAAACTTCTGTAGGCTCTTTCAAACTGTAGTTCCTAAGACAAGAAAGCAGCTAGGTTTTAAAGTTTCATTAAAAAATCTCCTCCCCTAACAATCTAAAATGCACAAAGTGTGTGTGACATTAGAATGTAAGCTCCACAAGGGCAGGCAATTTTCTCTCTTGTTCATTATTACACTCCAAGTGTCTAGAACAATATGATAAATTTAACCATCCATTTCAGAAAAATATGATTATTTCAGAGACTAAAGCAAAGCCCATCAATCTCTACTTCCGTATTCCAAATGTTTTTGAAGAAGTCTCTGCTTGCCACTGATTCTGTGAAGTTATTCAAAATAATATGTAATTATTTTATAAATTATAGATCGCAGGAACTTAGCTGTAGCTTTTATTGCCCTTCTAAAACAACCTAATTATTCAGACTGGCCTTTTTTTCTAGAAAGTCCAATTTACCTAATTATTCAGACTAGCCTTTTTACTAGAAAGTCCAATTTGTCTAAAAAGTCTTCTGAAAACTTTCACTAATGCAACAAAAATGATTCGCTTAAAATATTTTTTCCTTAGATTTTCTTCCTATACCAAGTAGTCAAATTCTTATTAACAGGACAACAAGAGGAATTAGATGTTTGCGGGCCTCAAAAACTTTCTGATCCAATTATAGAAGAAACTGGCATCACATCAACTGGTAGTTCTAAACACCCCCTTCCCCAATTATAGCCCTCACATGAAAGTTTCTCTTTCCTCTAGTATTCCATTTAATCTCGTATTTTCTTTTAGTAGCTAGTCAATGTACACATGACCTATATGTGCATTTTCTTGGTTTTGTAGTAATCTTAAAACACGGGCCTAGATGGGTAAGCATAAAGACTTCTTCCTGGAAATGGATAAAATTTGACAATTTTTAACCTGATACTTTCTTTAGCTTGTTAAAATTAGGACCTCACCGTGAAAGGGCATATTGCTGTGGAGGCTGGTAGGCAGCAAACTTGTCACCTGATCTTCATATGCACAAGGCCTGTATTCCACTGGTCTATAAAATCTGAAATCATAAAACCAAAAATATCCAATTGCCCAACTCACTGAGCAGCTAATATAGTTCTAGAAATCTCACTTTTCTTCTTCTCACCTGTTTACTTCAACACCATGTGTCCCCAAACCTAAGGCCCTCCAAAATTGAGCTCCATAAAAATCAAAACCCCAATCTTGAAAATTAAGCCTTGAGTACTGAACAGTTACATCAGCAATTCCTCAAGGGCAATTTCAAAAGCTTTCCTGGGAGACTACTGGAAAGATGGCACAGGGATATCACCATGCACTATGTGTGCAACAACTTTGATATATTCTAAGAATCACAAAGAACAAAGGCATGAAAATCAATGTAATTTTTTTTCTTTCACTAGAAAAATACAGATTCTTCATTTTAAAGCAAAAAAGCAAAAAGTAGCCACATCTTGACTGGACAAACTTACAGTTGACCCTCAGTATCCATGGGAGATTGGTTCTGGGACCTCTCTAGGAAACCAAAATCCACAGATGCTCAAGTCCCTTACATAAAATAGTGTAGTATTTGCATTTAACCTAATCACATTCTCCCACATACTTTAAATCATCTCTAGGTTACTTATAACACCTAATACAAGTAAATGCCATGTATTAATAAATCGTTGTTACACTGTATTGTTTAGGGAATTGTGGCAAGAAAAAAACTATATATATTCTATTCCATCTATTCCCCCACACCCAAAATATTTTTGATCTGCAGCTGGTTAAATCCACAGATGCAGAACCCAGGCACAGGAAGGGCTGACTGTATGTGACCGGGAGTGGAGGGGGATCTATATAAATATTTCCACAAAATAGCAAAGGGTACTTGGGATTGGGAGCATGAACAGAAATGAAAACAAACCATTATAAATTTAAAGATGACTGGTTATCACTTAAATTTAGTGTCTACAGCTATTTATTTATAAAATGGTAATTGTGTTTTAAAACTTTCAATGGCAACAAGTTACAACAGTAACTTCAGAATAGCGTTCACTTGAAAACATTGGGTGAATGGCCTCTATAATTTTTTTAGCTGAAATGTATACACCGCCACGCAGTGAGGAAACTTGACTTTAGCACCCTTTTGGTATTTTTAATAGAAAAAACAGTGGAGAAGATTTTCACATGTCTAGAAAGGTAACATGTTCAACTTAGGTTTGGCCAATGCTGATTCTGAGGACAGTACTACACCCGCAAGCTTCCAAACTACTTCCTGATTCATTCAGATTTTCATTGGAGAGCTGTCATCCTGCTACTGACCTCATTCAACCCAGTTCGGAGTGAGAGATCAGCGGATTACCGCGCTAGGTACCGTAGCTGTACGCCATATTGTGTTTTTCGCTAATGTTTAGTTTGTGTGTGTGCCTAGCATATGTTTGTGCAAGTGTGTTTATCAATAGAACTTTTAGAAAATCCCTGCCTCCTGCCTCTTCAGCATCCTTAAAAAGGATAACAGCTGGGGGCGGGGGGTGGGGGGAGGACCCAAAAGCCACACAGACAGGAATACATTAAACAGTGTACGAGAGACGGCATTTGTTTTAAACTTTCAAGAACCTTCCAACCATTTTTATATCAGGAATCAAAAAGTGTTAACATGTTTTAATGTTTCCGAAGTGGCCCAAAGAAGAGAAAGAAGGAAAGGTGTGTCTTCCCTTCCCAAGCCCCCTCCTCTCTAGTCGTAGAAGCGAAGCAGGCGGGGGCCGGGAGCTCCGGCGTCTGGAGAGACATCCAGCGGCTGTGGGGCCAGGACACCTCCTGCCCCCCAGTTCTCTGAAGACGCTCCAGAGACCGCGAGAGCCACGGCAAGCGGGGGAGGGCGAGGAGGGAGGGGGCAGAAGACAAGCGGGCGCCTCTAGCAGCTCCTGAGCCCCGGCTAGTCCCCCTCAGCTCCTCTTCTTGGAAGCAGCGGCTCCAGGCGCAGGGAGTAGAGAGAAGAAGGCAGAAGACACGTTTCCAGCTGCGGGACGTCCCGCCCGCCCCGCCACCCTTCGACCCTCCCGCGCCTCCCTCCCACCTCCCCGCCGGGTCGGGCGAGGCAGCCGCCGGGCGCTAAGAAGGGCGCCGGGGGAGGGGGCGCGGGCGGGGCGGGGCGGGGCGGGGCGCGGGGGCGCGCGCGCTCATCCAGCTCAGGGCCCGCTGGCTCGCCGCTCTGTAACTCGCTCCCCCAACCCCACCCCGCTCCCCTCCTTCCCAGTCCCGCCGCCCCCCACTCCAGGCGCCTCGCAGACGCCTCATCCCCCTCGGCACGCACACACTCCTCCCTCTCTCCCGCCCGTCCCACAACAAATTAGAGTTTGTGGCATTACCTCCTCGCGCTCTTTAATCTTCTTTCCTCAACTCCTAAACTTCCCCCCGCCCCTACTTCTTCGGCAGAAGGCCCACATTGGACGCTTCACTCCGCGAACCCTCTATCTCTCCCCGCTATAGGATAGCTCTCACGCCAATCTTGGCTTCAGTGAGCCAATGAGAATGGGACGCCCCTCGTGAGGTTGCCGCCCATAAACAAAATGCACTCTTCCTTCTCCCCTCCGCCCCCCCGTCCCCGCCCCTTTCTTCCTCTTCCCTCATCTCTGTCACCTTCGATTGGGCTAAAAGAGGCCCAATCCGCTATCTCAAACATCCATTGGGACGCGGAAACTTCGCTCAGAGAAGTATTAACAGGCGATTGGTGGACAATCCTTCCACTTCGCCCACCCCCACAACCCCCTCCCCCCGCCGCACCTTCACCCTTTCTGAAAAGGTCAATCGTATCTCGTTGTTCAGTGATCCGGGAGGTGGAAGGCTATTGGTTCAGGGAGCCCGTCAGACCGGACTGGAGTGAGCCATGATTGGTCGACACAGGCGCAATCAGGTTAGGTTGCTTACTCCTCCGCTCCTCCCTCCTTTTCCTCCACGCCCCATCTCCCCCACCCCCTACTGCTTTTACTTTCTACGCATTTCTATTTCCTCCTTTATTTATTTATTTGTGATAAACTTAAATGACCCGGCGACGGAGGCGGTACTCTAGGAGAAGGCTGAGGATGACGAGCGGCGGCCTGGGGCCAATTGCCGAGAGGGCTGCGGGGTGAGGGGCAGCGGCGGTGGCCAGTGAGAGGCAGGTGTCTGGAGCGCGCTGGGCCTGTGGAGCCGGGATGCCCCAGCGGAGGCGGCGGTTACCCGCTGTCTGGCGCGGCGAGCTGCGCCGGGGGAGCCGCGGGAGCGGAGAGGGGGGTGTCGCTGTCTTGGACAGCTGAGGCAGCGGGATGGAGGCTGGATCCCGGGCGGTGGGTGGGAAAGCCGGAGGGAGGGTCTGGCTGGCGGCAGCGCGCAAGGCCGCACCGGGTCACGCTTGATTCCCGCGGAATGGGGCGCAGGTTGCCAGACCGGGTCCCCAGTGCTAGGGCTCAAGGAAGAATTTGTTCATGCAGAAGATTTAGAAAAATACTATGTAAAAGAGTTTGGAGTAAGCCTCCCTTAATATAAATGAGATTTATTATCCTGCCGGAAAAAGCAGATTATGTTTCTTATTACTGAACGCCTGAAGTACCAACGACTCAACCAGAGCCCACAGAATTCAATATCCTGGGTGGTAAAAGGAACAAATAAAGCAACACGGAAAATTAAGTGTGGTTCAAATGCTTCAATAAAATCTTCGTCCTCAACCATTTGTCATTCAACATAGCACTCCCCAGAGCCAAATTCTTACCAAATATTGGTCCAGTACTCAGGCATTGGAGAAAAAAATGAGGCTGAAGTCCAGCAGGAAGCCCAGGATAGATTCCTAAAAAGGATTTCTTACAAGGGCCAAGATGGGAGGGTTGGGGAAATCGCTTTTCACTATACAAAGAAAAAAAAATAATTACTGCCAAACTAAGTTGCACTTTTTTAGGCAGCTGATATAGCAATATTTTGTCACAAAATAAGAGACTTTATCAAAAATACCATGCATGCAAAGAATACACTGTACTTGGGATTTGAAAATGACATTGTTTCTAGGACATGGATTTGATGTATAATTTCCAATAGACTTAAGTCATCTGGATTTTAACCCAGGCTTCTTTGGAACGTACAGCATGCTTTCACATAAGATGCCTGGTTAGAGGTCTTTGACAGAAACTAAGCAAAATAAATTGGCCCTGGTGAAAAAAAAAAAAGTAAGGGCCTTGACCTCATTAATACTATTAAAGCTATCTTGTGAGGATTATATGTATGAGGCTTTGAGAATCCAGAAAATTACTGTGTGTGGTGTCAATTTTGAAGTCTGGGAATTGCTAGTGAGTTTGGAAGCCAAAACACTTTTAAACTTATATATAAATCTTAGCTAAAAAGTGATATTGACTGGGTGCAGCTGCTCACACCTGTAATCCCAACACTTTAGGAGGCCAAGACAGGCGGAACACTTGAGGTCAGGAATTTGAGAGTAGCGTGGCCAACCTGGTGAAACCCCGTCTCTACTAAAAAATACAAAAATTAGCCGGATGTGGTGGCGCACACCCGTAATCCTAGCCACTAGGGAGACTGAGGCAGGAAAAATCGCTGGAACTCGAGGCAGAGCTTGCAGTGAGGCGAGATCGCACCACTGTACTCCAGCCTGGTGACAGAGCAAGACCCTGTCTCACAAAAAAAGAAAAAAATGAAAAAGAAAAAAAGTGATTTAGTAAGAATAATAAGTATTCCATACAGAACAATCAGCAGCGCATGAGAAAAATCAGTAAAATTTAACATTGGCGTTCACACAGTTACTCCTATAACTTCTCCAAGGAGCAATGACCACTCCTTCCAAGTCATTCTTAAAACTTGTTGTTTTCAACAAAATTTTAAAGGTATTATTCAACCTATTGGCATGAGAGTTAAGATTATGATAGGGCACACTAGGAAAGCAATGCAAGATATTCTAATTCAAATAATAATGATAAGGTGAAGCCCTAGGTATTACTGCCCCTATTTAAGGTAGTAGTTATGTCCTGTTCGTGTGATATTAGAAACTGGAATTAGAATCTTTCTGCCTCTAAGAAATCCCTCAATTTTCATATTTACATTACACATCTACATACCTTGATCACACTCAGATACAAACACCCCAAAAGATGTACCAAGAATTCCATAATTATGTCAAGGATCAAGAGAGATGTTTTCTTGGTTAGCAAATAGCAGAATTGAGAAAAAGAATAAAATAAGCAAGATGTGGTAAGAAAGGAAGGGAAGATAATACAAAAAAACAGCTGGGTGTGGTGGCGCGCGCCTGTAGTCCCAGCTACTCGGTAGGCTGAAGCGGGAGGATCTCTTGAACCCGGGAGCTGGAGGTTGCAGTGAGCCCAGATTGCACCACTGCCTCCAGCCTGGCGACAGAGCGAGACTCCGTCTCAAAAACACGGAAGGGAAGATGATGAAGAAGGCAAGATTGATAAAAAATGAAAATACAAGTGACTGCTTAGAGAAGAATTTTAAGACTTTTATACTTCTTTTAGTCCATTAGTCTACCTATTGCCTTCACAGATTATAGTTTACAGTTCCCAAGGCTCCAGAAGAGGCCAAACTAGTAGCAAATGTAATCTACTTACGTTACTAATGAGGACACAGACTTCGAATACTTTATCCAGCGTCACAAGTAGCAGAGCTTGTTTTCAAACTCAAGTCTGTCTGCCTCTTTCCACTATACTATTTACTCATTCAACAAGTACTAAGTGTGTATCTTCATACTAACTATAATTATTGGACATTTAAGATGCCAGGAACTTAGCAACTAAGCAGAAGAATTGGCATTTTTCTCCAAAGACTTGACTGTGTCTTGGAAGAGAGAAATAAAGGGATGAATTATGCTGCATACACATATGGCATATACAGCACAGGAATACATAGCAAAGAATGCCTAACTCTTAAGCAGCTGAAAATATTTGTAACACCCTGAACTGATCACTATACTGAATTCAAAAGTTAATCAAATCAAGTCTTGCTCCCCAGGGACTTAGATTTTAATAAGGGCGCTAATGAGACATATATATGTGTGTGTGTGTGTGTATATATATATATACATATACACACTACATATGTATACATGTATACATATGTAGTGTGTGTATATGTATATATATATATACACACACACACACATATATATATATACACTAGCCAAATGGAAAGAATAATAGAATAAATAGTACACCTTGAAGAGTGGAAGTACAAAATCAGGGAAGCAGTAACTTTTGAGATTTTTTTTTCAGTATCTGTTAGAGAATTTTCCATCCATACACACACACAACCACATATGAAATACATGTCACTTCATATTTTTGCCATTTGCCTAAAGACAGGTACTACTTTTCTATACATGAGCTCATTAATAACCTGAGCAGATAACAGCCAATAAAACAATATTAAAGGAAAAAGTCTTTTCGTAATGAAAGAAAATTGAATTAGACCTCAAAATTTGTCAGAAAAATGTGCAAAAAATTAAAATTAGACAATTTACATCCAAAGCAACTTAAAAGAGGTTTCTATAAATCCTTGTGTAATTCAGATGTGAGACAAGTTATTCTGCACCTGGAAACTTATATAAAATTTGCCTTTAACCTCCAAATCCACATTATGGTAGAAATCTGAGGCCCTTATTTCACTGGATTTGCAGGGGCTTATGTTTTCCTGGTTTTCTGTACACCCACATTTTCATTTCCATTCAGTTTTCTCTTCTACACCAAGCCATTGATTTACATGGGAAATTCACATCAGAACCAAGATCGGTTTCAAACAAACCCTCACTCACATAATGAGAATATAATGGAATTGACTGAAGAATGAGATGTTATAGAAAGGAAAATAGGAGAAAAGGAAAAAGAAAAGATGAAATTTATTAATGGTGAGGTATACTGATTAGATGAACGGAACATGGAAACAGAACAGAACCCAGAAATCAGTTCATGCATAAATGTCAGTTTGGTTATGTTACAGATTGGCAACACAGATTACTGGGAGAAAAGAGACTATTCAATACGTGGTATTGGGGAAATGGAAGAACAAAGAACTTGGATCTTTAGTTTATACAGCATACACAAATCAATTTTAGGTACTTTAGGAACTAGATTATGTGTTCAATCTGTAAATAGAAGGTAGGAACTGTAATTAGTAGTTCTACTGGAATTACATAAGTGGATTTGGGGAGGAGCAGTCCGTGAAAGGAGCACAGGATAAATAAAACAAATGTCCAGCATAACAAAGGCCCAGGGACTTTCTTAAGACCCAGCTGTGCCTAAGACCAGCTGTAACCCCTGTAATTCCTATTACCACAAGCCAATGACATTTCTTTCAGTTGGTTAGGATTGTTTGAATTGGGTTTGTATCACTTGGAATTTGACATTTGTAAGTCTTAGTTGATGTCTATAAATAATTGTACAGTTTTATTTACGTAGATGTACAGTGTTTCAAAATCATTATAAATGTTTTACAGTTTTTTTTTACACAATTGTAAAAAGGAGATTTTTTCCATTACATTTTCTCTTACTGCTCCTGTGTGAGAAAACTTATTTTTACATAAAAATTTTGTATCCATACATCTTTATGAACTTTTATTACTTATCATTTATTAGTTGATTCTCTTGGTTGTTGACATCCATTTTGTCTCCTAATGGTGATAGTTTTTTTCTCTCTTTTCAGTGTTTGTTACCTATTGTTTTTTTTCTTATTTTGTTGGTGATATGGTTTGGCTGTCTGTCCCCACTCCAATCTCATCTGGTAACTCCCATACTTCACACGTGTTATGGGAGGTAGCCGGTGGGAGATGATTGAATCATTGGGGTGGGTCTTTTCCCTGCTGTTCTCATGATAGTGAATGGGTCTCACAAGATCCAATGGTGTCAAAAATGGGAGTTTCTCTGCACAAGCTCTCTCTTTGCCTACAGCCATCCATGTAAGATGTTACTTACTCCTCCTTGCCTTCCACCATGATTGTGAGGCCTCCCCAGCCATGTGGAACTGTAAGTCTCATTAAACCTTTTTCTTTGGTAAATTGCAGAGTCTTGGGTATGTCTTTATCAGCAGCATGGAAACGGACTAATACAGTTGGCCAGAACTGCAGAGTATTGACTAGTATTTATGGGAGTATGCATCTTTGTCTTATTTCTGAATTTTTGATATCACATCTCTAAGTAGTTTTTGGCTGAAAATTTGATTAAAAGTTTCTATATATTCACAGCTTGCATTGTATTTTAAAAATTACCAATGAATATTAAATTTTATCAAATACTTTTTCTAAATGTATAAAATAAACATAATTATTATTTATTCTGTTAATAGACTGAATTATAATGATAGATTTACTGATGAACCATCCTTCCATTCCTAGATAAAACTCTTTAGTTTTATTACTATTTTAATGAGTATGTGTTTAATTTACTAATATTTTTATTTTGGAATTTGCTGACTTTATAAGTGAGATTGAGTTCCTAAGTGGGATGGACCTGTGCAATCTTCATCCAATTTTGGGATTTGTATTAGGCTAGCTTCATAGAATTAGTCAGGAGAATTTTGTCATGTACAGTGCTCTCGAGCTGATAAAGCTCATCTGTAAAACCATCTTGGCCAATGGGCTTTCTTCTTTTTTTTTTTTTTTTTTTTTTTTTTTAAGATACATCTTGTCTTCTTAATTCTATAGTTTTTGGTCACCGTAATTTTCAATCTCTTTCTGAGTCCTTTTAATCATTTAATTTTTCTTAGAAACATATTCCTTTTTTTCTAGATTGTCAAATTTATTTATATAAAATCTGCATAGTTATTTTAGTTATAAATCACTTTTTAAAAAGTGACCATAATTGGTGTCTATAACAGTACTATATTTCCTTGTGAGCAGATTATTTTATTTTTGTACTTGTTTATATAATTGTATTTGCAACAATTTTGTGTTGTTTGGCTTTTGATGTTTTAGCTACATGCATCTGAATCCTATTCCTACATTTGGGGAATTTTCAAATTTTGTACCTTATCTATTGCTGCACTCCAAACCACTCCAAAACAACAGCCATTTTATATGTTCCTGATTATCCAAGTTAGTAGTTTGGGCTAGGTTCAGCTGAGTGGTCCTTCTACTCTTGCCACTTATGAATTTGAGCCTTTGTTCCAGATCACACAAGCATCAAAAGTTTCACTTGTTCCTCTTTATGCTATTGGAGTCCCTCTGTTTATGGCAAGCCTTACCCTCAGTCCCTGCACAGACTCAACAGATACTCCCCCAGGGAAAAAAGTAGTTGAAAAATTCAGCTTACCCAGGAAAAGCGCTTATCTGTCTGGTGTGTTAGTTCATCAATTTCTTTGACTCTAACGCTCCTGCTTCTCTGTTATGAAGATCCTTGTGATTACATTAGGCCCGCCTGGATAATCCAGGATATTTTCCCCATTTCAAGATCCTTAACTTATTCACATCTGCACAGTCCCTTTTAGCATGTAACACATTCACAGGTTCCAAGGATTCAAATGTTGACATCTTTTGAGGGAGAGGGCTATTATTCAGCGTACCACGGAAGGCCTGTTACCACTCTTATTATTACACTCTCAAAAAGCCCAAGGAATACCGGGCCATCATTTTTTAAATTGGACTTAATTTTCTAGACACAAGTCCCTACGTCTTAACAACAATCCTTGGGTATATCTTTCTTATATTGCAATTCTATAACCCAAGGACTGAACTACTGAATTTCTGTAACTGAAGGATTTCTGGACTTTTTCTTAATGTGTACGTCTTTGAGGGTTGGTGTGGATGAAGCAGGGATGGCAAATAGTATTTGTACATTACTATATGCTTTTAAGAAAGCAGGCCACAATTTTTCAAAGTCATGCTACAAGTTTCAGCGTGGAAAGAGCTCCATTTATCAAAGATTTATTACATATTTCTCACACATGAATGGAAAATTCTCGTCAAAAATTTCAGCCAGGAAGCTAGGGTTAGAGGAAAAGCAATGAACTCCACCAAGGTCCTTCTTTGTCTCCCTGCAGTAAGCCCTTTCTCTAACAAAGAGCTATTTTATTGATTTATTTATTTTTGTCTATTTGTAATTGACAGAAAGGAGCAAAAAGACCTTTGCTAACTTGTTTTGTTTTTAAGAATGTGGATCTACATTATGACAGAGGTCACTAACTTTCCAACCCATGTCAAAAGCAGATCATGCCTCTAGTTAAAGAAATACTAAACATCACCACCTGGTAGGGGAAAACATAAAGGAAATTTAAGAGACTAGTTCCTTTTTGCAAACTGTATACCCAAGATGATGTGTGCAGAAAATTAACCTGCTCTGTGTTAAATCTCCAGAGAAGATTTGTTTAAAATCTCTTTTAGTAACTCCAGTGTTTTTTCAACATCTTAGAATTTCAGTGTTTCCAGGTTTGTGAAATGCCCCTGGGTGAATGATATTCTAAATGCCAAGGACACTGAAAGTTTCAAAACAGGTTGCCTTCCTGAGATCCAAATTTAAATAACCATCCTCATAAAAATCTTTGGAAAATACTGAAGCTACAAAGGAAAATAATAATAAACTTTTAAGTTTGAGGATTCGACATTTTGAGAAAATATATATGATGACTATTTATAACACCTTTTGCAGGTATACAATAAATTTGTTGGTTTAAGAATATACAAGTATATTATGTTTAACTTGGTTTTATTGGCATATTTAGAGAGATCATAAACCCCCCAAAATTGAAAAAAGGTATCCTTCCAGTTTTAAAACAAGGTCACCATGAAAAATATTTCCCTTGCCTTCTAATTTTACTATTTCCTCCAAGCTTTCATAGATTATACTCTTTGCAAATAATATTCAAAATTGTGAGGCTGCAGCGCTGTCATTTTGAATGGAAAATATTCACTGGATCCATACACGTTTGTTATTTTGGCCAGTACTGATGAATTATAAGTCGGAAGACTGGTTTTGGAGCCCAGAGTTTTAAAAATGTCCAAGGATTTTATTGAAAAACTAATATTACTGAAAGTATATAAGAAGTAGTAAGTATGTAAGTAAGAAAGTATGTGAGAAGTAAGCACTTGTACTGGTTATTTTACTAGAAAGGTGTCCTGATCCAGACTCGAAAGAGGGTTATTGGATTTTATGCAAGAAAGAATTCAGGTGCGTTCACAGAATAAAGTGAAAGCAAGTGTATTAAGAAAATAAAGGAATAAAAGAAGGGCTGCTGCTTCATAGAATATCCCCCAGGGGCTACTGGTGGCCATTTTTATGGTTATTTCTTTATTATATGCTAAACAAGGGGTGGATTATTTATGAGTTTCCCAGGAAAGGGGCAGGGATTTCCTGGAACTGAGGGTTAGAACATATATGATATCTTTCAGACATTACCATGACATTTGTAAAGTGTCATAGTGCTGGCCAGAGTGTCTTTTAGCATGCTAATACATTATAATTAACATAATGAGCAGTGAGGATGACCGGAGGTCACTTTCATTATCATCTGGGATTTGGCAGGTTTTGGCTGGCTTCTTTACTGCATCCTGTTTTATCAATGCGGTCTTTGTGACCTGTATCATGTGCCGGCCTTCTATCTCATCCTGTGACTAAGAATGCCTAACCTGCTGGAAATGCAGCCCAGCCCGTCTCAGCTTCATTGTACCCAGCCCTGATTCAAGATGGAGCTGCTCTGGTTCAAAAGCTTCTGAGAGTTATATTTTTAGGAAATTGGGATGATTTTGATCTGAGGGACAAGCAAAGGAGTGGTTCCTTACAAAAAACAGATTCAGGAGTATATAAATAATCAGAGCCCTTCCTGCCTCTTCTACTTCTTTTCAATCCTCAGACATTTTAGTGTCCCCCCCATCAGTAGCGTAAGACAGGTGATATGGTTTGACTGTCTGCTCCTAAATCTCATCTTGAATTTTAGTTCCCATAAACCCATTATGTCATGGGAGGGACCCAGTGGGAGGTAATTGAATCATTGGGCTGGTTATCCCCATGCTGTTCTTGTGATAGTGAGTTCTCATGAGATCTGTTGGTTTTATAAGGGGCTCTTCCCCCCTTTGGTTGGCACTTCACTCCTCCGCTGCCCTGTGAAGAGGTGCCTTTTGCCATGATTCTGAGTTACCTCAGGCCTCCCTAGCCACATGGAACTGTGTGTCAACCTCTTTCCTTTATAAATTCCCCAGTCACAGGTATGTCTTTATGAGCAGCATGAAAATGAATGAATACAGTAAATTTGTACCGAGGTAATGGGGTGCTGCTATAAAGATACCCAAAAATGTGGAAGTGACTTTGAAACTGGGTAACGGGCAGAGGTTGGAACAGTTTGGAGGGCTCAGAAGACAGGAAAATGTGGGAAAGTTTGGAACTTCCTAGAGACTTAGAGGGTTCAGAAGACAAGAAGATGTGGGAAGGTTTGGAATTTCCTAGAGACTTGTTAAATGGCTTTAACCAAAATGCTGATAGTGATCCAGACAATGAAGTCCAGTCTAAGGTGGTCTCAGATGGAGATGAGGAACTTGTTGGGAACTGGAGGAAGGTGACTCTTGCTATGCTTTAGCAAAGAGACTGGTGGCCTTTTGCCCCCACCCTAGAGATCTGTGGAACTTTGAACTTGAGAGAGATGATTTAGGGTATTTGGCAGAAGAAATTTCCAAGTGGCAAAGTGTTCAAGAGGAAGCAGACCATAAAAGTTTGGAAAATTTGCAGCTTGATGATGTGATAGAAAAGAAAAACTCACTTTCTGGTGAGAAATTCAAGCTGGCTGCATAAATTTCCATAAGCAATGAGGATCTCAATGTTAATCACCGAGACAATGGGGAAAATGTCTCCAGGGCAAGTCTGAGACCTTTGCGTAGCCCCTTCCATGACAGGCCTGGAAACCTAGGAGAGAAATATGGCTTCCTGGGCCAGGCCCAGAGTCCCCCTGCTCTGTGCAGCCTCCAGACATGGTGCCCTGCATCCCAGCTGCTTCAGCTCCATCTGTGGCTATAAGGGACCAAGGTATACCTCAGGCCATTGCTTCAGAGGGTGCAAGCCTCAAGCCTTGGCAGCTTACACATGGTGTTGGGCCCACAGGTGCACAGAAGTCAAGAATTAGGATGGGGAACCTCCACCTAGATTTCAGAGGATGCATGGAAATACCTGGATGTCCAGGCAGAGGTATGCTGCAGGGGTGGAGCCTTCATGGAGAACCTCTGCTAGGGCAGTGCAGAGGGAAATGTAGGGTGGGAGCCACCACACAGAGTCCCCACTGGGGCACTGCCTAGTGGAGCTGTGAGAAGAGGGCTACCGTCCTTCAGACCCCAGAGTAGTAGATCCACTGACAGATTGCCCCACATGCCTGGAAAAGCCACAGACACTCAATGCCAGCCTGTAAAAGCAGCCCGGAGGAGGGCTGTACCCTGCAAAGCCACAGGGGCAGAGTTGCCCAAGGCCATGGGAGACCACCTCTTGCATCAGCATCATCTGGATGTGAGACATGGAGTGAAAGGAGATCATTTTAAAACTTTAAGGTTTAATGACTGCCCTATTGGATTTCTGACTTGCATAGGGCCTGTAGCCCCTTTGTTTTGGCCAATTTCTCCCATTTGGAACAGGTGTATTTACTCAATGCCTATACCCTCACTCTATGTAGGAAGTAACTAACTTGCTTTCAATTTTCCAGGCTCGTAGGCAGAAGGGACTTACCTTGTCTCAGATGAGACTTTGGACTTGAATTTTTTGGTTAATACTGGAATAAGCTAAGACTTTGTGGGGACTGTTGGAAAAGCATGATTGTATTTTGAAATGTGAGGATGTCAGATTTGGGAGGAGCCAGGGGTGGAATGATATGGTTTGGCTGCGTCCCCACCCAAATCTTATCTAGAATTATAGTTCCCATAATCCCCGTGTGTCATGGGAGTGATCCAGTGGGAGGTAATTGAATCATGGGTGGGGGGGTGTGCGGTTACTGCCATGCTGTTCTCATGATACTGAATGAGTTTTCACAAGATCTGATGGTTTTATAATAGGCTCTTCCCCCTTCACTTGGCACTTCTCTCTCTTGCTGCCCTGTGAAGAGGTGCCTTCCACCACGATTGTAAGTTTCTTGAGGCCTTCCCAGCCATGTGGAGTCAATTAAACCTGTCTTCTTTATAAATTACCTAGTCTTGGGTATTTCTTCACTGCAGTGTGAAAGGGTCCCCAACCCCTGGGCTGAGGACTGGTACTGGTCCATGACCTGTTAGGAACTGGGCTGCACAAGCAGGAGGTGAACAGTGGGTGATTGCGCATTATCTCTGAGCTCCACCTTCTTTCAGATTAGCAGCAACCTTAGATTCTCATAGAAGCATGAACCCTATTGTGAACTGCACATGCAAGAGATCAAGGTTGCCTGCTCCTTATGAAAAATCTAATGCCTGATGATCTGAGGTGGAACAGCTTCATCCTGGAACCATCCTCCCACCCCTCTCCCTGTCCATGAAAAAACTGTCTTCCACAAAACTGGTCCCTGGTGCCAAAAATGTTGGGGACTACTGGTGTAAGAGATCTAGAACATACATATGCCAGAAGTAAATTTGATTTCCTCCGTAGAGATAGAAGACCAAAGGAAAGTGATGAAAGACCAGAGACCCAATTGCTGATTCTCGTTATCAGCACCTTGATTTACTTTGATGTATACATAGTGGATGGGTGCTTGCTTTTTTGTTTATACTATAATGTAATATAACACTTTGATTTGGTGAGAATGCAGAGCACATATCTTAAAATTTTCACTTCAATACATTATTATTTGCATTTATATAAGATGACAAGTATGATTTTTATATGGTATAAATATTTTTTCAAAAAAGTCTTTTTTCTATTCTACCTTATGGCCAATAGAAGTCTGAACTGTAACCTTAAGTTATTTATGTAGTGAACAAATATTTTCTGGGAACTTCTTTTTTTTTTTTTTTTTTTTTTTGAGATGGAGTCTTGCTGTGTCGCCAGGCTGGAGTGCAGTGGCACTATCTCAGCTCACTGCAACCTCCACCTCCTGGGTTCAAGTGACTGTCCTGCCTAAGCCTCCGGAGTAGCTGGGATTACAGGTATGCATCACCACACCCAGCTAATTTTTGTATTTTTAGTAGAGACAGGGTTTCAACACGTTGGCCAGGATGGTCTCGATCTCCTGACCTCGTGATCTGCCCACCTTGGCCTCCCAAAGTGCTGGGATTACAGGCATGAGCCACCGTGCCTGACCGGGAATTTCTTAATTTCACTAAATATTTAGTGTATAATGACAAATTAGTCAGGGTGCTCGCCCTTTTGGATCACATGGTCTACTGAAAGAAATGTGATTATTATAGTCTAATAAGGGCCATGATGGAGGTATGTTTTAATACCTAACATTTATTGAATGCTTACTCAGTGCCTAGGTTCTACATATATGATTAATTCTTACAATTACTTTATGAGTTAGATACAATTACTGTCTCCATTAATGCAAATGAGAAACTGAGGCTTAGAGAGATTAAAAGCATAGAGAATTTGAGTAATGTCAAATAATTTACTATGACTGACATTTAGATTATGGTAGAGGTATCCTTTATTGTGGAATGGAATTGACTCATGAGATTAGTTTTCATAGGCTAGTTGAAATATCACCTAATATAGCTAATCTCTGTTTCAATTTCAGTTTTAATCATCACACTGTGGTCTGCTTGTCTGACTCCCTTGATACAATGTGCTGCCCATTCGTTAGGGCCTGAGAGTGGCAGCAGCAGAGGCCAAGGGAGGTATGGAGAGGGTAAGAAAACTCTTAAGAAAACAGGAGCTAAAGTTCCTGTAACAATAATAGATGCATGGAAGAAAAGAAAAGCCTAAAGTAGGATCCTCCCATGAAGAAAGCAAAGAGAGGAGATTTCTTAAAACAATAACAACAAGGTAAAAAATGAAGCCACAGGGATGCCAAACCCCTTTGCCATATTGGAAGTTTTAGCCCTTAACATTGGAACCCAGCAATGCTTTTAACCTTGATCTACATAATCTTTCTTCATTTCATGGTTTTGGTGAAAGAGGAAGCCTCAAGCCTCCTTTGAAGCCTGCAATGTAGTACAAATAATAATCATCCTATGGAAGCATATAGAATAGGCATTAACTAGGTATTAAGGGTGACAGAATTAATTTATTTAAGCCATTTTCAAACTTTCTCTATTTTTTTAGTCAATACTATCATTTAAAGTAGTGAATTGGTGATTTGGGCTGAATAATAAATTTAGTTTTTCTGACTAGTGGCTATATTACACTCAATTTAGTTCTGAACGACCATTATATTTATTTCTTTGTTTTATTTTCAAATCTAGTTCCCATGGTGGTCCCCTTTTACTGAGAAAATAATCAGATAATCATTTCAGAGCCACTAAATTGTACAAACCAGAAACACTATTGAATTAGTCAGGACTCCACATTTGCAAGTAGAAGAAACCCAACTCAGATTAATTTAAATAAGAAAGGATACTGCATTAATTTACAGTGAAGAAGGGACCTCCAGTGATGTCACCAGCAATCAATCTATCCTGCTTTCTTTCCCAGTGCTGCTTTGCTTCACTTCGACTTTATTCTCCGGTGAGCACTCGCCATGTAATGGCAAAGATGTTAATGAAAACTTTAGGCATATATTACATGATCTTCATCACAAACTCTTTAAATAATAAATGTATTGGTTCACATAACAGCTAAAAATCCAGATGTAGTGAAGCTTTGGATGTGGTTTGATCAAACTCTCTGGGATTCTCTTAGCTCTTCTTTATGTGTCAGCTGTAGCTGTAATGGTTCTAGTCCTCACAGATGCACACTACATCAATCAGACCAAGAAACAAATCTTTCCCCTCAGTTATTGACAGAAGTCCTGTATTTCATTCTGTGGGGACCAATTTAGGTCATTGCCCATCCTGGACTCAATATCTAGGGAAAGAGGGATAAGAGCTCTCTTGACGGATTGGCTTATACTAAACAGGATAAGCCACCTCTGGACTTGAGGGTTGTGTCTGTTCTACTAAAGTAAAATGGCTGCCATATAATGAGTGACAAGTGAGGTGGATACTGGATAATGTAATACTCATGATCCCAGAAAGATAGAATGCATATTTCTCTATTGTTTCAGCAAAAGTCCTGGAGGTGCTTCCCATTGGGGAAGTTCCCACTGGTTGATTCAAGCCTCAAGCTCATCTAGGTCCAATTGAACTAAAAGTAGGGTGAGTGAGTCTCCATAGGCAGAAAGTAGTATTGGGATCAAGCCAAACAATATTTGTGTGTGATAATATGCTTGTAGAACACGTCTGCACTTGCCCTATGTTATATCCTTGGTGAAAATAAATCTTGTCTACTGCCATGGACACAGAGACTAGAAAAATTACATTTCAGAATTCTTGAACAGTAACAGCTGAATTTTTATTTAGAATATGAAATGATTAGATAATATTTTCTAATGGAAGGGAAAATTGGATATTTCTAGAAGTAGCATTTCTTAGAATGAAACAGTATCTGTTTTTCTGGAAATGAAAGGTACAAGAGAATAAATCATGTTTTGAAAGAAATTGGTAGAAAAAGTTTCTCTCAATTGTTTCATAAGATGTAAGATTTAGCATGGCTTTCAAAGGACAGAAAGGCAGTGGTGACTGATATATGGACTTCAATCTAATAAGAAAGGACACGCAGGAGAGTCTCTGAGATTAGGAAGAATAATTAGGCAAAATTTTTAATTAGAAAAAATAGCAAGTATTTTGATCCTGAATACATTTTTAAAATATATTGTTGCCTTTCTTGTTTCTGTATTGAATATTTTTTAAGTTAAAGTTGAATTTTAAAAGTTGTAAAACTTTTAAATTCAGTTTCAGATTCAAGTATAGACTTAAAGAGAAGGATCAAAGTTGTAAGATGTAATTTAAGAATATTGCTAAATAAAATACTTCCGAGGTAACCTGCCTTTGATTTATCTTTTCTATTAAAGATTAATACCTTGAAATGTCAAAATAGCATAGACTTGAGAAAAATTTAAGCCTTGTAGAGTTACTCTGTATACTTACCTATAACAAGCCTCTAGTGTGCTGGCAGAATGCAGTGTGCAGATGAAGGCTGAGAGATAATATCCCACCTCTTCTGCTTCAGCTTCCCAGAGTGGGTGTGGCTAGTGGAGGGGAGTTCATACAACTGACAATATGCTTGCCCAATATTTTCTGGCTAACCCTCATTTCTCACAATGACTCTTTGTAGGCTTTTTTGTTGTTGTTGTTTTTCATTTCACCTCCAGGTATGATTTTTATTTTTGCAAAGAACTGAGGGATGAAAAGTTTTGCCAGCAGATATTTGGTGTTGTGAACACGTAGAAGTGGTCTAAGGAAGTTACTGGCCTAGTCTCTGCTCTAGTGGAGGTAAGTCAAATGCTGGAGAAAATAATAGATTAGTTAAACTATTCTGTTCTTTCTGCTGTCAAGGAAGCCATCTTGTAGGACATCCCACACCTGAAAGAAAGAATTCAGCTGTAATTTTTGAAAATAGCACATAACAAATACATTTTGGTATAATTTTAAAATTGATTTTAGAGAGAATTTTGGGACTGCTGTCAATCCAATTTATGTTCTTCCTGAGGATCTCAATGTGTTAGATGTCTGTGTTAGCTTCCTGGAGAAGATAGATATTTCTGCTGTTAAGGAGCTAATAGTCTCACTAGATAGGAAGACAGGCATACAACATGCAACAAAAGACACAATAGAGCATGTAATCAATGGCTGTTTTGTTAGTTATTTTAATTTCCAGCCATGGACTTACTGGGGGTTTTTATTAGAATTCATTTAGCGATAAGAGAGATGGGATGTCATGGAGCTCCAGGGTAAAAGTTCATGCCACACATGAATAGGAAGATAGGAGCTGGAGTCTTGTTCTGGATTCAAGGGAGCTTGAAGGATCCCTGCACCAGTGGTCTACCATTGACATACTGTGGCTACTCTCTGAGGTTACTTTTCTCTCTGTCTTCTACCCCTTACTCCTGTTCTAGAGCTCAAGTTCAAATTTCTGAGACTAAATCTGTTTGACATAGCTAATTATTCAAATCTCATTTAGGCTGAGCTTTCTCACCCAGCCACTGGCTAATGGGTGAATTAGCTGGTGTTGTGTCAGGTGACTGTTCCTGACTTCCTTATCTGTGGCCAGGGGTGTTTCTTAGAATTGGGGATGGGGGAGTGTGATCTCTGATGAAGGACACAACTCCCTTGGGATGCCCCTTCCACAGTGCTGTGTGTTAGTGTGTGGCAGGGTCCCATAACCAACACAAAAATTGCAGTAAGCATGTAGCTAGTAAATTCTCTGGGAGATCAAAGAACAAAGTATTTGATGTGGAATTGATAACCTAATGAGACTCCATGTCAAGGAAGGATTGGCACCATGTCCTGAATGATCAACAATAATCTAACTTAAAAGAGTAGGGAGGAGAGAATCTAATATAAAAGTATTGGCCTGGATAATAACTACAAGCAGGCCTTATCTTTACCCATTTTTTAATATAACTTTAAAAAATCTGACTGGGAGCCCAAAAACGCTCATAGCATTTAATTAGTCTGATTAGCACTAATTTTCTGGTTCTGGAGGTGAGGCCAGGAGCAGTTTTTTTCTCACCACTGAGTGGGTCTTTACACAAAGATATGTCTCAGGGTAGAGATTAATATAAGCTGACTTTTGGCCACTTCCTGCCTCACAGTAATTAGACAGGAAGCTTCCTAGCAAAGAGACAGAGTTAAGAAATACAGTTTCTTACCACTCCAGGAAAGGTACATATTAATTCCCTTTGCTTCTGCATCCACTGGTAGAAGCCATATTTGCCAACAGCTTTGCACTTCCATAGTATGGTTATTCTAAGCACCTAGGTGGAAACCAAGTTCTCTTACTGGACAGAACTCTTGTATTGGGCTACCTCATAAGTTGATAGCCACAGTAGAAGGTTGCTGTTGGATCAGATGCTGATTCCTGACTCAGTCAATGGTATGAAGGAGTGTGATTCTGTGGTTCACAGCAAGGAGAAGCTGTGGCAGTGTGGTAATTTGCATTAATGGAGTTATTTACTCATTCTGTATCTGTGCCATTTGCCATGGGACTTTGCATTCCTCCTGCTGAAGAGGCAGAATATATTTTCTCATTATTTGATTAAATTTTGTGCTTGGTCACGTGACTTATTTTGGCCAAAAGAATGACACATGCCAGAGTCTCAGTGAAGAGGACTTGTGTGTTTCTTCTTATCTTTGTGCATTTCTGCCATTGCCAAAGGAAAAACAGGCCTGTACCAGCTTTCTGGGCCAGAAAAGAATGAGAGACGTATAGGGTATACATAAGTGTTTCAGCTGGATCACCCCTATGGGCCCACCCTAGATCAGCTAACCTCTAGTGAACCAACTGATGTATGGGCTCAATAAATACCACTGAGATTTAGGGGTCCTTTGTCACATAGCAAGAGTTAACTGACATAGGCAGATTTGCTCAAAATGAGTCTGTAGATTTGTTAGCTT
Organism: Homo sapiens; assembly: GCF_000001405.40. NCBI lineage: Eukaryota > Metazoa > Chordata > Mammalia > Primates > Hominidae > Homo > Homo sapiens. The sequence continues at coordinate 115,165,356 of NC_000003.12, forward strand.
TAACCAGAATGGGGATGTGGCCATAACAAGCCCTCAAGCTGCCAGACTTCACTCCAGCAAACAGGTGACTTCCTTAAAGCCCAAGACAGACTGTAAACAACCCACAAGACTCATCAAACCAAAACCTCTGATGAAGATGGTATCTTCTTACGTAAGTACACATACAAAAATTTCAATCCCTGTTGCTCTAGACTCTGAGTTTAGCTGATAAATCCAATGAAATAGAAAACCAGGGGTTAAAACCACAAGGAAAGGAGCCCAAGCATCTATTAGAAGGGCAAGTCTATTTACTGGTAGCCGAGACCTTCTAATGTGTTTCCATGATATCAGGCAGCACTCATGGAAAGCTGTGGAAAATGTAGGACAACATGTCTATTTGACAGAATCAGGAAATACACACAGAGTATAAGGTATGACCTAGGTCAAAACCCAGAATCCAAGATCAGGACTCCTTTTGGGGAAGAATCTTGGCCTTATGAGGTTGGTTGGAAATGTCAGTGTAGCTGTTATAGTTTCCTGGAGTAGGTTTAGACTACACAGAGACTTTCATTCTTTCACAGGAAATGAACGGTCACCACGAAGATGCTTAGGGCATTTGTAAGGATGACAGCCACTTTTGTGATTTGCCTATCACAAGCTGTTCAATTTTGGCTTAATTTTATGTAAATAGCACTTTCTCTCGGCACTCTATGGATCACATGTTTGCAAGGAAAAGAGAGGAGTACACATAAAGCTCCTTGAGATATAGAATGAGATTTTCCCAGACATAAAGTATAGCTCAGACCTACAAAAGTGTATAATACCTAGTGGTATAAAGAACACTGTACAACATTTTTTCTCTGTCCTCCATGTGTTTACCCTGTGGTTGAAGAGTTAAATTCTCATATAAAAACAATTATATAAGTATGGGAAAAATATTGACCTACTGAGGAACTTTATAGCAAAGTCTTATTCTATTAAGAATTTTAAGATAATATTTAGCGTAATGGAAATAAGGTTCTTACAACAGAGTTTATTTTTTTCCTCCTTGTACATTGGTAAACAAATATACCAGACAGAGTAAGCAATGTTATAGTCTGGGACAAATTATATTATTGATTCTTTAAAAGACTTTTAATTTATGAGAAGGTTATGGCAGTCTAATCAAATAAATGGAAATTCATGTAGGTATGAGTCAAATAATCAAACATTATTATTCTTACTCTATTATACTTTTATGACCATAAATGCAATTTTATTTCAAAATATTAAACTTGTGATAGTATAGGAAGGACTTCATCCTTAAGATGTTGGAGCTGAAAATTTTAGGCCTTAAGAACTAATCCTGATATTTATGAAATGGATAAGTTTTCTTGGTTTTTATACTGATAATATATGTGGTATAATGTACAACTACAGAAGTGCCCCTACTTGAGACATATAAATAACAACAAATACTACTATAATAACCACCTTGAAATGAGTTTTTAATTGCTTTGATGACTATAGTAGCAATTCCCAAAATATGCTAGCTCTGTTTACTTTCAATTTTATTCGGCATATGGGCGTAGGAAAGCATTAGCATTTTCCAATTCCAAGGATGAATGTGTTTAATGTTAAAATAACTCAGAACAGTTTTATGTTTTTCATCATGAAGTTCAAGTAAGAAATATAAATACAGAAACTTGGGTCTGCTGCTATTCTGCCTATAAATTTGGTCAATCTGGTGAGGACGTGACCATAGAGAGCTTATGGATCAACTATTTGGGCTTCCTTTTACTACCAACTAAAACACATGATGCAAAATTATTTCCATCAATAGGACAACTATTTGAAAACATTCATACTGTGTAGACATGTTTTTAACCTCAATTTTTTCCCATCAATTCTGAATATATTTTTCGTGGGGGCTGGAGGTTGTAGTGATTGGTGCCATACCTAATAGTGGGGTATCAAAAAGTGACGGAGATTTGGGCTTGAGTCTCAGTCAACACAGTCAGCTTGCAAGAAATATAACTATTAATCACATTTATCAACTGAACTTAATTTTGATTGTGAGACCCCATTCTGCTGAGTGTTGGAAACTCAATCATTTTGGAGTTACAGCTGTGTTCTCCCAGTGCAGGTCCAGTGACCATGAGACTTGTAAAATGCCAAGATATGGGGAATGGGGATGGAGGAAGAATTTGGCATAGGTTGTCATGTGTCAGCCCTGGCATCTTCAGAGACAGCTTTTGTCTCATCTGATCTTTAGTTGTCTATCAGCACAAAACACTTCTGAGTTTCTATTTTTCCTGACAATTAGATTCTTTCAAGTTTTCTCCATAAACTTATTCCAGTGCCCATCTCAGATATTGTGTTTATTTGTGTTATTCTTGCATCATGCACTCTCAGGAAACTTGACAAGTTTAGTTGAACTCTTCATTTTCATGCTTTGCTTAGGCATTGTATTAGTTCATTTTCACACTGCTATAAAGATACTACCCAAGACTGGGTAATTTATAAAGAAAAGAGGTTTAATTGACTCACAGTTCTGCATGGCAGGTGAAGCCTCAGGAAACTTACAATCATTGTAGAAGGTGAAGGGGAAGCAAAGACTTTCTTCATGTGGCGGCAAGAAAGAGAGAGCCAGCAACAGCAGGGAAAACTGCTTTATAAAACCATAAGATCTCATAAGAACTCATTCACTATCACAAGAACAGCACAGGGGAAACCGTCCCATGATCCAATCACCTCCCGCCTGATTCCTCTCTCTACACATGGGGATTATGAGGATTACAATTCAAGATGAGATTTGTGTGCAGACACAAAGACTAACCACATCAGGTGTGTTAGAATTAACCTACTGCTCCTATATAATACTGTAACTGACATAAGGGAGAATTCTGAAAAAGCCTCAGGCCAATCTCTTTAGACATACCATGTGACCATTCCAACTCCAGGTTTCATTTGCATGCCCATCCTCATCCAGGCTAAGCAGGTCTCTTCAACAAACATTAGCTAATACCTGATAGTATGGAATTACACTTCAGTGTCTGATAGAGCCCTAAGAACGCTGAGAAACAGATAGTATCTTTTAGCACTTAGAGCTTGGACTAGGTCTTAAGGGAGAGGATTCCCTAAGGAAGTACTAAGTGAAAGTGACTTAAGGGTGGGATAACAGGAGCAAAGAAATGGAGGCGGAAACAATGAGACATGGATGTGACAGTTAGTTTAAAATCAATGAGAACACTGATTTGGTTATAAAGTTGGGTTCATGATGGGGAATCGTGGAAAGTAAGGTTGACCACGTAGTGTGAGCCACTTTACAGTAAATTTGTTAGGGCCAGAGCTGTGTTTCTTTTATAATAATGAGTTTTTTCTCCCACTTTTGACTGAGAACAATTTCAGGAAAGTGGAGAACAGAGAAGGCCAGTCCTAAAATATACAATTATGTACAGAAATTTTGATTTTAGTATAGTCAATATTGCTTCTTTTCCACCTTTCCTTCATAATAAATTTTAATGAAGATGGATGGGTTTCCAGCTCTCCGGTGAACTTGTGATTCTTGTGAGATAACCTTGCATGGGTCTCTGGAATAAAAGTCTGTAAGGAGAAGGCCACAACCTAGCTCATTAATAAACTCCAGCCTGAATCATCCAGTCCAGGTGTGGAAGAACCAGTTGTTGCAAACTGTTTTCAAAACAAAGCAGAGTAGACACTTACAAAGCTTCTCTCTTCTCTCCTTAGTCTTCAGGAAGAAATTTCCTGGGGCAAAGCCTGCTATAGCCACAGAAGCATATCTGTGGCTTCCTTTTTTTTTTTTTTTTTTTTTTTTTGAAACAGGGTCTCAGTCTGTCACCCACGCTGGAGTGCAGTGGCACGATCTCGGCTCACTACAACCTCCATCTCCAAGGTTCAAGCTATTCTTCTGCCTCAGCCTCCCTAGTAGCTGGGACTATAGGCATGCACCACCATGCCCGGCTAATTTTTTTTTGTATTTCGAGTAGAGATGGGGTTTCTTCATGTTGACCAGCCTGGTCTCGAACTCCTGATCTCAAGTGATCTGCCCACCTCGGCCTCCCAAAGTGCTGGGATTACAGGCACGAGCCACCGTGTCCAGCCTGTGGCTTCTAATAGAAGTTAAGTCATCCTTTTTCCTGTGCTGTTTTGCCTCAAACCAGCAACCATGGTTTAACTCAGGCGGTGCTGTGTGCAGAGGGAGAAGCTACCACAAAGCTGGAGAGCTGCTTTTTGACCATTCTTTGGAGTGCCACATTCTGCTGTGGTTTTGCTCCTATAATAGGTCTTTTGCTCTACACCTTTGCAGAGATGCATACAAATGTTTCTGCAAAGTACCATAACATCTTAAAGAATGCAGTGTTTGGCCCTGAGGCCATGTGTCTTGAAATTTTTTGTGTGTATTTATGAATGTGGGGACTTAGGGGAGTGAGATAGGGTGAATAGGTGAATATTTAATTGAATATTCTTTAATTGAATATGCCGATATGAATTTTATTAATGTGGAGGTTTTTTTTGGAATGTAGAATGACTATCTTTGCCTATTATCATTAACTTGTGTTCTAGAAATAAATATTAAATCAAAGAAAAAAGAATTCTTAAAAATTAGAAGAAATCACAAAAGTTTATATAGTGCTGTTTGAGACAAAATAAATCTAAAGGGTTCCATCTGCTGGTAGAAATAAAAAATGAATACAAATTAAAATATGCATTGTAAAAATTATCTGGCAAATTAGAAGTGATAGTCACAGAAGTTTAAATTGAAAGAACAATCATCTACTTCCTTTATTTTAAAAACTATCATGGAACATGAAAATAAATACGTAGTTGTTTTAAAATATATTATAGAAAGCAAACAGATAATAAGCATTGTTTGTTTGTTTTTTTTTAACTATAAGCTTTGTGAAGGTAGGGGCCATGTCTATATTGTTCCTTAATATATTCCCAACTCTTGGTAAAGTGCTATGCAAATATATGTAAATAATTTTGTCACATGATTCAGAGTTACATGAGACCTAAAAGGATGTAACAGAAAGTTTATATTTTTAACTCAAGGAACCATAAATTTATATTATGAAATTATAGAAAATACACTTATAATAAATTTACTTCTTAAATAGAAGTTCTCCACTGAAGAATTTAATATCAATTTGTAATGATATATTTTATTTCTCAGAAAGATAAGTCTAGCAGTCAGGATAAACTATGTTATGCTGTGGTAAAAAATGATTCCCAAATCTCAATCTCAGTGACTTACAACAAAGGTTATTTTCTTGTTCACATCCATCATGAGTTTCCTGCACTCTGCTCCTTATGTGTGTTCATTCTGGGACCCAAGCTGTTGAAACACCTATCTGGAACATAACTGATCGTCCTGACACAGAGAGAGAGATGTGGCACTAAACATATGTGTTTTCCTTTTTAATAACAGTTTTATTGAAGTATAATTTTCATACATTTAGCCATTCTTAGTGTACAATTCAATGTTTGTTAGTAAATTTACAGAATTGTGCAACTGACCACCACAGTCCACTTTTAGAACATGTCCATCGCCCCCAAAACATCTCCTGAGTGCATTTGCAGTGAATCTTCATTGCTATACCCAGCCCTAGAAAATAATTAATCTGCTTTCTGTCTAAAAATTTGCCTTTTATAGATATTCCATATGAATGAAAACATATTTGTAATCTTTTATGTCTGACTTCTTTCACTCAGCATGTTTTTGAGGTTCATCTGTGCTGTACCATGTCAGAAGTTTTTATGACTTTTTAAGAAACTGTTAAACATGTACAAAGTGACAAATCATTTTATATTCCTACCAGCAACATATGTGGGTTACAGTTTCTCCATATCTTCACCAACGCTTATTTTGTTTGTCTTTTTTTATTATAGGCATTTTAATAGGTAGAAAGTGGTTTCTCATTACAGTTTTAATTTGCATTTTCTAATTCAAATGACTTAATGTGATTGAGCCTCTTTTCATGTACTTATCAGCCATGTCTTTGGTGAAATGTCTATTCAAATTCTTTGCCTCTTTTGTATGTTATCTTCTTATTTAATTATAAGAGTTCTTTATATATTCTGGATAACATTTTTATTAAGTCTATGATTGACAGGTATCTTCTCCCAGTCTGTGGCTTGTCTTTTCATTTTTCTTAAGTGTCTTTTGAGGGACAAGAATTTTTAAAATTTTTATGAAATCCAATGTGTCATTTTTTTCTTTTATGCATTATGCCTTTGATGTTCTATATAAGAACTCTTTGCCTAACCCAAGAAATTCCAGCGCCATGAAGATTTTCTATTATGTGTTTCTCTAGAAGTTTTATAGTTTTCATTCTTACATTTGAGTTTATGATCCATTTTGAGTTAATTTTTGTGTTTAGTATAAGGAAAGCTGTCTCATTCTTCATTTTTTCCCATTAAGTTTCTGGCTCCTCTGCTAATCTGTTGTTTGCTCTAAGCTTAATCACACCCTAAGGCTAACTATGATATCATCCCTCCCCAATTATTTGTCACCAAAATCACTGTTGTTCTTGACAATGTCCTGGACATGGGGACTTCCGACTCTACTCCAAATGAAGCCAGTCCACTTTGGCAGTAAAGATGATGGTTTTCCTGGTCCATCCTGTCCCTAAGGTGGTGTGGGCTAAAATGCCATTAAATAACACCATTCTTACCCAAGGTTCAGTAGTTTTCTTAAATATAAGTTTTTGAGTTATTTGTATGCCTTTGGTTGATTTTGATAGTTGGGAGTTTTTTTTTCAAGTGTCCAATTTTATTTTTGCTTTTTGGGGAGAAGATTTGCCAATCTCTTCACTCCACCATTCCAGAAGTCTCAGCCTCTCTGGGGTAATTTTTATAATATGGGCATTTGAATACCTTAAAACATTATAAAATGTGTTATTTTTGTCAGAGTTCATGAGCTTAAAGCAAGTCACATAGTCATTCCTTTGTTCAATAGAGAGAGATATAGAATCCTCCCATAGGAAGGAACATCACAGGGATAATGTGGTAGGCAGCTCATGACATAGTTTCCAGTGTCACACCTTGGCGTCATCCCTTTCCCTTGAGTATGGTGTGGACTTAATCACCCTCTTCCAGAATAGATAGAATTCAGTAAGAGTGATGGACTGTCATTTCTGTAATTAAGTTAGGAAAGACTACTACTTCAGTCTTGCTAGCTTTCTCTTTCTAGTGGGCACTCTTTCATTCCATCTTGCCTTTTTGGGTTGCTCACATTGATGAAGCAAGCTACAATTTTGGAGAAACTCATATGGCTAGGAACTGAAGGTGAACCCCAGCCAATTCCCAGCAAAGGACTGAGGCTCTCCTATTGAGTTAAAAAGCCCACAAGGAACTGAAGCCTGCAAACAAACAGAATGAGCTTGGAAGCAGATTCTTACTCAGTTGAAGCATGAAATGACGATAGCCCTGGCTGACACCGTGATTGTGGCCTTGTGAGAGATCCTGAAGCTGAGGACCCAGTTAAGCCATGTCCACATTCCTGATCCACAGAAACTGCTTGATGTGTAAACCACTAAATTGAAGGGGTAATTTTTTTGTGCAGCGATATATAACGAATACAGAGAGTAACTAAAACATTTAGTAAAGAGTGAAAAATAATCCACAATAATAGGTATGGAGCTGGATAGGATATTTCTTATCATACATCAGCACTTCTAAATGAATCACATTTTGATCAGGGTGGCTTTCTGTGGGTCTCATAATCTGGCATTTGCTCTGAATAGCAAAGTAAGTATTTTTTTTAAATGAGATTGGAAAAAGATATTTTCTTGTGCATTATTAATGGTAGTACTCTAATTTCTCATTGATATTTTGTAATTGGCAAATGTTTTGATGACTGTCTACTCTTTATAATTTAGTGTTACTTTAAATAATATGTAAATACTAAAATCAATAAGCTTCACTTATATAGAAAGTATTCAGTAAAAAACATAAGGGAAAACTCTTCCAAAAACTAGAGTGTTGGAAAAAGAGACCAAAAATGTAACTTGACAGTGGAGAAACCTGACAAATACCACCTTAAGCCAGGTGACTGAGGTTAACATCAATAGTGATGAACCATATTTGATAGTATGTAGCCTTGATGTGATGTGATGATAATACCACACTTCTTCTGTGGTCTTCCTCCAAAAAATATTAGCCCAGTCTAATTGTTAAAAAAAAATAGGCAAATCTCAATCAAGAAAAATTGTGCAAAATACCTGAATAGTAATATTTAAAACTGCCAGGGTCATCAAAACCAAGGACAGTTTGAAAAACTACCACAACCAAGAGGAGCCTAAGGAGACATGGCTACTGAATATAATGTGGCATCCTGGATGTGATCTTGGAACAAAAGAAAGACATTAGTTAAAACTAAGGAAATCTGAATAAAGTATTGACTTCAATCAAAGATAATATATTAGTATTGGTTCATTAATTGTGACAAATGCATCATCATCTTTTGTTGTTGTTGTTGTTGTTTGTTTGTTTTTTTTTTTGATACAGGGTCTTGCTCTGTCTTCTAGGCTGGCATGCAGTGGTGCAATCTTGGCTCACTGCAACCTCCGCCTCCCGGGTTCAAGCCATTCTCCTGCCTCAGCCTCCCAAGTAGCTGGGATTACAGGCATGCACCACCATGCCTGGCTAATTATTTTGTATTTTTAATAGAGGCAAGGTTTCACCACGTTCACCAGTCTGGTCTTGCTCTCCTGACTCTCAGGTGATTCGCCTGCCTCGGCCTCCCAAAGTGCTGGGATTATAGGTGTGAGCCACTGCGCCTGGCCCACTTTTCTTTACTATTAATATTTTACATCATTATTGTATATTCTGCTGGTTGTGGTGACTCACACCTGTAATCCTAGCACTTTGGGAGGCCAAGGTGGGTGGATTGTTTGAGGCCAGGAGTTCAAGACCAGCCTGGGCAGCATGGAGAAACCCTGTCTCTACTAAAAATACAAAAAATTAGCCTGACCTGGTGGCACACTCCTGTAGTCCCAGCTACTCGGGAGCCTGAGACAGGAGAATCACTTGAACCCCGGGAGGTGAAGGTGGAGGTGGCAGTGAGCCAAGATCATGCCATTGCACTCCAGCCTAGGCGACAGAGCGAGACTTCATCCCCACACCTCCCCCTGCCTGCCCAGAAAAGAAAAGGAATAACTGAAAGTAAAATGAAAACTTTTATTTTTTATTCTTTATTGATCTTAAATATAACAGTTTGTTCAAAATAAGAATATCAACAATGTATTCAGGTATGTAATTATGTATGCTTACATATAAGTGAACTGAATGATACAACCAATAATACAAGGGATGAAAGGGAAGAATTAGGATTATTTTATTACAAGGTACCCACACTGTGCGTGAAATTATATAGTGTGATGAAAAATGGACTTAGATTAGTTGTAAATATAGATTGTAAACTCTGGGGCAACCCCCAAAATTTTTTTAACAAAATATAGATGAGAGGGTAAGAAATAAGAGAAAATGGAATTATAGAAAATGCTTAATTAAAACCACAAAAAGCAGAAAAAGACTAGAAGAGCAAAATCAGGAACAAAGGACAAGTTCAATGAAATGAAAACAGTAGCAAATATAGTAGATATTAATCTAGCTGTATTCACAATTGCTTTGAATGTTAATGGCCTAAATGTATCAATTAAAATACAGAGATAGAGTGGCTCAAAAGACAAGACCCAATATATGTAGTCTGTAAGAAACTCACTTTAAATATAAAAAAACATATAAAATAAATGTCAATGAATGGAGAAAGATATACCATGATACAACTAGTCATAGAGTAGCTTATATTAATTTCAGACAGAGGAAACTTCAGAGCAAGGAGAGTTATCAGGTATGAAAAGGGGCATTACGTAATGATTAAGGGGTCAATTCTACAAAGAAGACATAACAATCTTTAATATGTATGCATCTAACAACACAAAATCAAAACACATGTGTAAAAACTGATAAAATTCCAAGGAGAAAAGATTAATCCACTGTTATAATTGGATACTTCAACTCTGCTTTGTCAGAAATGGACTGATTTAGCAAACATAAAATCAGTAAGGATATAGTTGAACTCAACAATACCATCAATCAGCTGAATATAATGGACATCTATAGACTACTTCATCCAACAACAGAATATTAATTCTTCCCAAACTAACCTGGAACATTCACTAAGAAAGATCACATTCTAGGCCATTAGACACACTTTAACAAATTCAAAATATCATACAATGTCGCCGGGTGCGGTGGCTCACACCTGTAATCCCAGCACTTTTGGAGGCCGAGGAGGGCGGATCATGAGGTCAGGAGATCGAGACCATTCTGGCTGGCACGGTGAAACCCCGTCTCTACTAAAAATACAAAAAATTAGCCAGGCGTGGTGGTGGGCGCCTGTAGTCCCAGCTACTCGGGAGGCTGAGGCAGGAGAATGGCATGAACCCCGGGGGGTGGAGCCTGCAGTGAGCGGAGATCGCGCCACTGCGGTCCAGCCTGGGCAACAACAAGACTCTGTCTCAAAAAATAAATAAATAAATAAATAAATCATACAATGTCTACTCCCAGACCATGATAGAGTTAAACTAGAAGCCAATAACAGAAAGGTAGCTGGAAAACCGATTAATACTTGGAAATTAATGCACTTCTTAATAACAAATTGGTCAAGAGGAAATCTCAAGAGGTATTAAAAGTATTTTAAAGAAAATAAAATGAAAACAGCTTATCAAAATTCACAGATACTGTAAAAGCAGTGCTTACAGGGAAATTTATAGCATTGAATGCGTATGTTAGAAAAGAGGAAAAGTCTAAAATCAAACATCTAAGCTTCTACTTTAGGAAATTAGAAAAAAGAGCAAATTAAAGTAAGCAGAAGAAAAGAAATAAAAATTACACCAGAAATCAATGAAATTGAAAACAGGAAATAATACAGAAAATAAATGAAAGCAAAAGCAAAATCAATAAACCTCTAGCCAGGCTAACTAAAAAAAAAAAGAAAAGAAAAGAAAGAAAGGGCACAAACTACTAATATTAGAAATGAGAGAAGGAACATCATGACTGATCCCATGGAGATTAAAAAGATATTAAAGGAACACTATGAACAAGTCTATGCCCACAAATTTGATGATACAGATGAAATGGACCAATTCTTTGAGAGAGAGTTGGCCAAAACTCAGGCAAGAAGAAAAAGATAATCTGCATAAGCCTATATCTGGTTAAAAAAAATCAAATCAATTATTACCTCCCAAAACAGAAAGTATCAGGCCCAGATGGGTTCACTGATTAATTCTACCAATCGTTTAGGGAAGAAATGATACCAGTTCTTTTTTTTGTTCTTTTTATATTATACTTTAAGTTCTGGGATACAGGTGCAGAATGTGCAGTTTTGTTACATAGGTATACACGTGCTATGGTGGTTTGCTGCACCCATCAACCCATCATGTACATCTGGTATTTCTCCGAATGCTATCCCTCCCCTAGCCCCCCACCCCACTACAGGCCCCGGTGTGTGATGTTCCCCTTCCTGTGTCCATGCGTTCTCATTGTTCAACTCCCACTTATGAGTGAGAATATGCAGTGTTTGGTTTTCTGTTCCTGTGTTAGTTTGCTGAGAATGATGGTTTCCAGCTTCATCCATGTCCCTGCAAAGGACATGAACTCATCCTTTTTTATGGCTGCATAGTATTCCATGGTGTGTATGTGCCACAGTTTCTTCATCCAGTCTATCATTGATGGGCATTTGGGTTGGTTCCAAGTCTTTGCTATTGTGAACAGTGGTGCAATAAACATGCTTGTGCATGTGTCTTTATAGTAGAATGATTAATAATCCTTTGGGTATATACCCAGTAATGGGATTGCTGGGTCAAATGGTATTTCTGGTTCTAGATCCTTGAGGAATTGCCACACTGTCTTCCACAATGGTTGAACTAATTTACACTCCCACCAACTGTAAAAGCATGCCTATTTCTCCACATCTTCTCCAGCATCTGTTGTTTCCTGACTTTTTAATGATTGCCATTCTAACTGGCATGAGATCATATCTCGTAGTGGTTTTGATTTGCATTTCTCTAATGACCAGGGATAATGAGCTTTTTTTCATATGTTTTTTGGTTGCATAAATGTCTTCTTTTGAGAAGTGTCTGTTCATATCCTTCACCCACTTTTTGATGGGGTTGTTTGTCTTTTTCTTGTAAATTTGTTTAAGTTCCTTGTAGATTCTAGATATTAGCCCTTTGTCAGATGGCTAGATTGCAAAAAATTTCTCCCATTCTGTAAGTTGCCTTTTCACTCTGATGATAATTGCTTTTGCTGTGCAGAAGCTCTTTAGTTTAGTTAAATCCCGTTTGTCAATTTTGCCTTTTGTTGCCATTGCTTCTGGTGTTTTAGTCATGAAGTCTTTGCCCATGCCTATATCCTGAATGGTATTGCCTAGGTTTTCTTCTAGGGTTTTTATGATTTTATGTCTTACATTTAAATCTTTAATGCATCTCGAGTTAATTTTTGTGTAAGTTGTAAGAAAGGGGTCCAGTTTCAGTTTTCTGCATATGGCTAGCCAGTTTTCCCAACACCATTTATTAAATAGGGAATCCTTTTCCCATTGCTTGTTTTTGTCAGGTTTGTCAAAGATCAGATGGTTGTAAATGTATGGCGTTATTTCTGGGGCCTCTGTTCTGTTCCTTTCTCTCTGGCTGCCCTTAACATTTTTTTCCTTCATTTCATCCTTGGTGAATCTGACGATTATGTGTCTTGGGATTGCTCTTCTCAAGGAGTATCTTTGTGTTGTTCTCTGTATTTCCTGAATTTGAATGTTAGCCTGTCTTGCTAGGTTGGGATTCTCCTGGCTAATATCCTGAAGAGTGTTTTCCAACTTGGTTACATTGTCTCCATCACTTTCATGTACACCAATCAAACATAGGTTTGGTCTTTTCACATAGTTCCATATTACTTGGAGCCTTTGTTCATTCCTTTTTCATTCTTTGTTCTCTAATCTTGTCTTCATGCTTTATTTCATTAAGTTGATCTTCAATCTCTGATATCCTTTTTTCCACTTGATTGATTCAGCTGTTGATACTTGTGTATGCTTCATGAAATTTTCATGCTGTGTTTTTCAGCTCCATCAGGTCATTTATGTTTTTCTCTAAACTGGGTCTTCTAGTTAGCAATTCCTCTAACCTTTTTTCAGGGTTCTTAGTTTCCCTGCATTGGGTTAGAACATGTTCCTTTAGTTTGGAGGAGTTTGTTATTACCCACCTTCTGAAGCTTACTTCTGTCAATTCATCAAACTCATTCTCCATCCAGTTTTGTTCCCTTGCTGGTGAGGAGTTGTGATCCTTTGGAGGAGAAGAGGCGTTTTGGTTTTTGGAATGTTCAGCCTTTTTGTGCTGGTTTTTCCTCATCTTTGTGGATTTATCTACCTTTGGTCTTTGATGCTGGTGACCTTCGAATGGGGTTTTGGTGTGGACGTCCTTTTTATTGATGTTGATGTGATTCCTTTCTGTTTGTTAGTTTTCCTTCTAACAGTCAGGCCCCTCTGCTGTAGGTCTACTGGAGTTTGCTGGAGGTCCACTCCAGACTCTGTTTGCCTGGATAACACCAGCAGAGGCTGCAGAATAGCAAAGATTGCTGCCTGTTCCTTCCTCTGTAAGCTTCATCCCAGAGGGGCACCTGCCAGATGCCAGCCGGAGCTCTCCTGTATGAGTTGTCTGTCGACCCCTGCTGGGAGGTGTCTCCCAGTCAGGAGGCACGGGGTCAGGGACCCACTGGAGGAGGCAGTCTGTCCCTTAGCAGAGCTAGAGCGCGGTGCTGGGAGATCCACTGCTGTCGTCAGAGCCAGCAGGCAGGAACGTTTTAAGTCTGCTGAATCTGCCCCCACAGCTGCCCCTACCCCCAGGTGCTCTGTCCGAGGAAGATGGGAGTTTTATCTATAATCCCCTGACTGGGGCTGCTGCGTTTCTTTCAGAGATGCCCTGCCCAGAGACGAGGAATCTAGAGAGGCAGTCTGGCTACAGCAGTTTTGCTGAGCTGCGGTGTGCTCCACCCAGTTCGAACTTCCCGGCAGTTTTGTTTACACAGTGAAAACTGCCTACTCAAGCCTCAGTAATGGCAGATGCCCCTCTCCCCACCAAGCTTGAGCATCCCAGGTTGACTTCACACTGCTGTGCTGGCAGTGAAAATTTCAAGCCAGTGGATTTTAGCTTACTGGGCTCCATGTGGTTGGGATCTGCTGAGCTAGACCACTTGGCTCCCTGGCTTCAGCCCCCTTTCCAGTTGAGTAAAAGGTTTTGTCTTTCTGGCATTCCAGGTGCCACTGGGGTATGAAAAAAAAACTCCTGCAGCTAGCTCAGTGTCTGCCCAAATGGGTGCCCAATTTTGTGCTTGAAACCTAGGGCCCTGGTGGTATAGGCATCTGAGGGAATCTCCTGGTCTACGGGTTGTGACGATCATGGGAATAGCATAGTTTCTGGGCCAGAATGCACCATTCATCACCACACAGTCCCTCACAGCTTCCCTTGGCTAGGGTAGGGAGTTCCCCAACCCCTTGAGTTTCCCAGGTGTGTTGCAACACACCACCCTGCTTTGGCTTACCCTCCATGGGCTGCACCCACTGTCTAACCAGTCCCAGTGAGATGAGCTTGGTACCTCAGCTGGAAATGCAGAAATCACCCACCTCTGCGTTGATCTTGCTGGGAGCTGCAGACCGGAGCTGTTCCTATTTGACCATCTTGCCAGCCACTGATACCAGTTCTTTACAATCTCTTTGAGAAGACAGAAAGAGAAGGAATACTTGGTAACTCATTGCATAAGGCCAGCTTTACACACTACCAAAACCAGGCAAAGACACTATAAGAAAAAAAAAAAACAATAAACCAATTTCTCTCATGAAGATAGATGCCAAAATCCTCAACAAAATCCAGCCAATTAAACCCAACAATGTATAAAAATAATTATACACCACATCCAAGTGGGATTTATCCTAGATATGTGAGGCTAATTCACCATTTGAAAATCAATTAATGTAATACATCACACTAACAGGCTGAAGAAGAAAAATAGCATGATCATATCAATAGATGCAGAAAAGCATTTGACAAATTCCAACATCCTTTATGATAAAACTCAGCAAACTAGGTGTAGAGGGAAACTTCTTCAACTTGAGAAAGAATGTCTGCAAAAAACTCTACAGTTAACGTTGTACTCAATGATGAGAGACTCAAAGCTTTCCCATTAAGATTATAAATAAAGCAAGAATCTTCCTTCTTACAATTGCTTTTCAACACCATACTGAAAGTCCTAACTAAAAAAGTTTAAAAAGAAAAAGAAGTTATATAGGTTGGGAAAGAATAAACAACTGTTTTTGTTCACTGATGATATGATATCTATGTAGAAAATTTGAAAGTACTGGTAAAACCCCTGGAACTAACAGCAATTAAATCAAGGTTGCAGGATACAAAGTTAATATTAAAAAGTCAATCATTTACCTATATGCCACCAATGAACAAGTGGAATTTGAAATTTAAAACACAGTGCCATTTATATTTGCACCCTGAGAAATGAAATACTTAGGCATAAATACAAAAAATGTACAAGATCTAAATGAGAAAAACTATGTAACTCTGATGAAAGAAATTAAGGAACTAAATAAGTGGAGAGAGATTTCATTTCATGGATAGGCCACAATTTTGTCCCAATATTAATTCTTCCTGACTTGATCTGTAGATTCAAGGCAACCCCAATGTGATGGTTAATATTAAGTGTCAACTTGATTGGACTGAAGGATACAAAGTATTGTTCCTGGGTGTGTCTGTGAGGGTGTTGCCAAAGGAGGTTAACATTTGGTCAGTGGACTGGGACAGGCAGACCCACCCTCAATCTGAGTGAGCACAATTTAATCAGCCGCCAGCATGGCCAGAATAAAAGCAGACAGAAGAATGTGAAAAGGCTAGACTGGCTTAGTCTCCCAGGCTGCATCTTTCTCCTGTGCTGGATGCATCCTATCCTCGAACATCAGACTCCAAATTCTTCAGCTTTGGGACTCAGACTGGTTCCCTTGCTCCTCAGCTTGCAGATGGCCTATTGTAGGGCCTCACCATGTGATCATGTGAGTCAATACTCCTTAATAAACTCCCCTATATAAATACATCTCTCCTATTAGTTCTGTCCCACTAGAGAACCTTGACTAATATACCCAATCAAAATCCCATCAAGTAATTTTGTGGATAAGGACAAACTGATTACAGTGTTTATAAGGAAAGGCAAAAGGCCCAGAATTGCCAATGCAATATTGAAGAAGAACACAGGTTGAGGACTGACACTACCAAACTTCAAGCCTTACTATAAAGCTATAGTAATCAAGACAGTGTGGTATTGGCAAAACAACAGACAAATAGATCAATGGAATAGAATAGGGAGCTCAGGGATAGACCCACATAAATATAGACTGCTGATCTGTGATTAAAAAGGAAAAGCAATACAATGGAGCAAGGACAGTCTTTTCAACAAATGGTGCTGGAGCAACTGGACATCTACATAAAAAAAAAAAAAAGAATCTAGATGCAAACTTTACATCCTCTACAAAAGTTAACTCAAAACGGCTCAAAGAACTAACTAAAATGCAAAACTCTTAGACTCCTAAAAGTTAACATAGATGAATATTTAGATGACCTTGGGCTTTGCAATGACTTTTTAGATAAACAGCAAAGGCACGATTCATAAAGTAAAGAATTAGTAAGTTGAACTTCATTAAAAGTAAAAATTTCTGCTCTGTGAAAGACATTGTCAAGAGAATAAAAAGACTGGGAAAAATATTGTGAAAGATATATCTGATAAATGAGTATTATCCAAGATGTACAAAGAACACTTAAAACCAACAATAAGAAAACAAACAACATAATCAATGAAGATGCCCATCAACTGTAGACTTGATAAAGAAAATGTGATACATATACACCATGGAATACTACATAGCCATAAAAAAGAATGAAATCGTGTCCTTTCAGCAACATGGATGGAGCTGGAGGTTATTATCCTAAGCAAAATAATGCAGAAACAGAAAACCTAATACTGTATGTTCTTACTTATAGATATACAGATGGCAAATAAACATATGAAAAGATGCTCCATATCATATGTCATCAGGGAAATACAGATGACAAACATGAAAAGATGCTCCACATCATATGTCATTAGGGAAATACAAAATAAAACAATAAGATACCACAACATACCAATTAGAATAGCCAAAACATAAAACACTTACAACACCAAATGCTGGTGCGGATGTGGAGGAACAAAGAACTCTCTCATTCATTGCTTGTGGGAATGCAAAAGGGTACAGCCACTTTGAAAGATAGTTTGGCAGTTTCTTACAAAACTAAACAGACTTTTATGCAATTCAGCAATTGCGCTCCTTGGTGTTTACACAATGGAGTTGAAAAATGTCCACACAAAAACCTGCATACCGACGTTTATAGCAGCTTTATTCATAATCCCCAAAACTTAGAAGCAACCAAAATGTCCCTCAGTAGGTGAATGGATAAACTGTGGAACAGTTTGTTGATTGTCTGTGGAACAGATAATGGAATATTATTCAGTGCTGAAAAGAAACGAGCTATCAAGCCATGAAAAAACACAGAGGAAACTTAAATGCATTTACCAAGTGAAATAAGCCAATCAAAAAAGACTACATACTGCATGATTCCAACTATGTGACACTTTGGAAAAGGCAAAACTATGGAGATAGTAAAAAGATCAGTATATGCCGAAAGTTGGGGGGAGACAGAGATGAACAAGAAGAGCACTGAGGATTTTCAGGGCAGTAAAATTAATTTGTATGATACTAAAATAGTGAAAACATGTCATTAGACATTTGTCCAAACCAAGATTGTACAAAAATGAACCCTAATGTGAGCTGTGGACTTTGGGTGATGATACGTCAATGTAAGAGCACCAGTTGTAACAAGTGTATTGCTTTAATTGGGGATATTTATAATGGGAGAGGCTACTTATGTGAGTGGGGCAGAGGGTTTATGGAAATTTCTGTAATTTCTTCTCAATTATGCTGTAAACCTAAAACTGCTCTAAAAATAAAGTCTGGTAAACATTTAAAAAATGAAAACAAAAAGAATACAATGGGTCAAGTAACAGTCAGATACCCCCATTGTATCTTGTAAGTAACTAAATTGTTTGTGAATTTACAGGCTCATAGAAAGAAGGGACTAGCTGGGAGGCTGAGGCAGGAGAATGGCGTGAACCTGGGAGGCAGAGCTTGCAGTGAGCCAAGATTGTGCCAGTGCACTCCAGCCTGGGCGACAGAGCGAGACTGCGTCTCAAAAAAAAAAAAAAAAAAAAAGAAGGAAGGGACTAGCCTTGTCTCAGATGGGATTTTGGACTTTGGACTCTTGAGTTAATGCTGGAATGAGTTAAAACTTTGGGGGACTATTGGGAAGGCATGATTGTATTTTGCAATGTGAGGAGGACAGGAAATGTGGAGGGGCCAGGGGGCAGAATGATATGGTTTGGTTATGTCCCCGCCCAAATCTCATGTTGAATTATAATCCCCAGTGTTGGAGGTGGGGCCTGATAGGGGGTGATTAGATAATGGGGGCAGTTTCTAATGGTTTAGCACCATCTCCTTGTGAAAGGCAAGTAAATCTTGGGACCTCAGAATCACTAAGCTAAAGGGAAAAGTCAAGATGGGAACTGCTTAGGGCAAACCTGCCTCCCATTCTATTTAAAGTCATCCCTCTGCTCACTGAGATAAATGCATATCTGATTGCCTCCTTTGGAAAGGCTAATCAGAAACTCAAAGAATGCAACCCTTTGGTTTGTCTCTTATCTACCTATTGTGTCTGGAATTGGTGGGTTCTTGGTCTCACTGACTTCAAGAATGAAGGCGGGGACCCTCCGGTGAATGTTACAGCTCTTAAGTTGGCGCGTCTGGAGTTTGTTCCTTCTGATGCTCAGATGTGTTCGGAGTTTCTTCCTTCTGGTGGGTTCGTGGTCTCGCTGGCTCAGGAGTGAAGCTGCAGACCTTTGCTGTGAGTGTTACAGCTCTTAAGGCGGCGCGCCTGGAGTTGTTCATTCCTTCTGGTGGGCTCGTGGTCTCGCTGGCTTCAGGAGTGAAGCTGCAGACCTTCTCTGTGAGTGTTACAGCTCATAAAGGCAGTGTGGACCCAAAGAGTGAGCAGTAGCAAGATTTATTGCAAAGAGCGAAAGAACAAAGCTTCCACAGTGTGGAAAGGGACCCAAGCCGGTTGCCACTGCTGGCTCGGGCAGCCTGCTTTTATTCTCTTATCTGGCCCGACCCACATCCTGCTGATTGGTAGAGCCCAGTGGTCTGTTTTTGACAGGGCTCTGATTGTTGCGTTTACAATCCCTGAGCTAGACACAAAGGTTCTCCACCTTCCCACCAGAGTAGCTAGATACAGAGTGTCCACACAAAGGTTCTCCAAGGCCCCACCAGACCCAGGAACCCAGCTGGCTTCACCCAGTGGATCCCGCACCGGGCTGCAGGTGGAGCTGCCTGCCAGTCCCGTGCTGGACGCCCACACTCCTCAGCCCTTGGGTGGTCGATGGGACTGGACGCCCTGGAGCAGGGGGCGGCGCTCCTCAGGGAGGCTCGGGAGGCACAGGAGCCCATGGAGGGGGTGGGAGGCTCAGGCATGGCAGGCTGCAGGTCCCCAGCCCTGCCCCGCGGGAACGCAGCTAAAGCCTGGTGAGTAATAGAGAGCAGCGCCGGTGGGCTGGCACGGCTGGGGACCGAGTACACCCTCCGCAGCCGCTGGCCCAGGTGCTAAGCCCCTCATTGCCTAGGGCAGCAGGGCCAGCCGGCTGCTCCCAGTGCGGGCCCACCAAGCCCACACCCACCCGGAACTCCAGCTGGCCCGCAAGCGCGGCGTGCAGTCCCAGTTCCTGCTTGCGCCTCTCCCTCCACACCTCCCTGCAAGCTGAGGGAGCCGGCTCCGGTCTTGGCCAGCCCAGAAAGGGGCTCCCACAGTGCAGCAGTGGGCTGAAGGGCTCAAGTGCCGCCAAAGTGGGAGCCCAGGCAGACGAGGCGCCGAGAGCCAGCAAGGGCTGTGAGGACTGCCAGCACGCTGTCACCTCTCACTATGACCTGGAAGCGCCCCCCAACCCCACTCCCTGCTCCCTCTTGGAGTTATCCTGCCTTTTCAGACCAAACCAATGTACATCTTACATATATTGATTGATGTCTCATATCTCCCTAGAATGTATAAAACCAAGCTGTGCCCTGACCACATTGGACACATGTAGTCAGGACTTTGTGAGGCTGTATCATGGGCACGTGTCCTTAACTTTGGCAAAATAAACATCCTGAATTGACTGAGACCTGTCTCAGATATTTGGAGTTCACATTTGGCAATCACAAATGGATTCTGAGTAGAGGTTCCCCTGACCTTTGACATATCTCCTGTTGGTGCTTAGTACCAGTTTGAGCTGTCTTTATGGGTCAAACCAATAGAATAATTTGCTGAGGCCTGGAAGCATCGCCTTCAGAGAATCCCTGATCCCCCCAGATTTGATCAAGATCTAAAGTTTATTCTGCTGTAAAACTCCTTTTTCTTGGTTCGAGGAAGGGGGAGTTTTACTTGCTTCCAGCAAAGGAGGCAAGTTTTCCTGCTTCCATGATGATGAAAGGGAGGTAACTCCTTTCTAGAGTTTGAGCTTGCTTCCAACAGGGAAGGTGAGTTTGAGTTTTTTCCTGCTTCCAGAGTGGAAGAGAGAAGTCTTCAGTCTGAGACCCAACCCTACATAAGTAGCTGAATTGGGGTTTTGTCTTGGCTAAAGTTAAGATTAACAACCAGCTGATCTTAATTTCTCCTTACCATTAGAGTGCTCAGTAATCATATTGTTGGTTTTGTTGTTGTTGTTTTTGTTTGTTCTGGTCCTTCTCCTTTCAGATTTGACCAACCCTACATGACTTGGTCAAATCTGAATGAGAATTTCAAAGTATGGGTAACAAGTCCTCTCTGAATTGGCTAAAATTCCTCACAGCTGTAAAAGAGGAAAAAACAAAAAACAAAAACCCAAAACTAGGCATTTGGTTTCTGTGTTTGCTTCCTGTCTGAAAAAAAAAAGGAAACAAAACAACAATTGTTCTTTTGTTTACTTTTCTTCCACCCCATACCGCCTTCCCCCTTTGTCATCTTCAGTACCAAGAAAAATCTAGAGAGAAGGCTTCTAATGACTCAAACTCCTTAGAGAACTCAGAACAAAGACACCACTCACCCCTTTTGGGATGTTCTGTTTTCTTTGTGGAGTTCCAAGAGTCATGGGCACATTCTTCTTAGGTCTAAAGCTCTGCTCTCCTGTATTGCATGACTTGACCTCTTTGGCTTTGGGGCTATTAGAGATTACCTTGTACTGTGAGAAGATTTGACCTTGGTGTGTATAATGGTAGGCAAGAACTCCAAAGTTAGGGGTGGCTGAAGGTGGTTTACAGGAAGTGGTTTTGGCTTTTTTTTTCCTTTCTTTCTCTCCTAGGAAGTTATTGTTTAAGGATTCTACTTTTAATTCGGAGATGCATTCTAAAGGGTCTTCTCTATTGCTTTTTCTCCCAGAATTAATGTCAGTTTGGCTTGTATGTGCACATTTGCGTGAGAAGCTGAACTGTTGTTTTCATAGGTAAATGAGAGATTTAGTTTTCTTAGCTTCGAAGAGAATGAACATTTTGCTCCACCCAGCTGAAAGGCACCCGTGGGTGACCAGGGGCCTCGTGGGAGTGTAGAGAGGGTTGACCACCTGTGATTTGCAGCAGCCCTATGGAGAATCCCCATCAAACTTGTTTAAAAAAGGGCTCATCCAGGAAGCACATATGGGAGCTGGTCACTGAGCTTTGAGCCCTCCTGGAGGTGGTAGACCTCCAGAGAATGAAACTGAGACATGAAAGAGGGTGGCAACAACTCAGTGGTAACACACTATGGAGTCCCACCCACAATCAGCACACACCACAAAAACCCTAGGCCATAGCTCAGTTCCTCCTTTTAAGAAAAAAAAGAAAAAGAAAAGTGGGAAATTAATAATCTAAAAACGAGGATAAAACAAGGAGAATGACCCCCTTTGGGGCACTCCATTGGTTTTATGGCACCTCTACTTGTTAGAGTTTGTCTAAAATAGAATTATTATGGTCTTTGTGCACATTTACATGAAAGAAAAGGGGCACTAAGATCGACCTTCAAACTACAGAGTTCTTAAGTTCTCTTTTTCTCTGTTTTTTTTTCTCCCTGCTTTAAAGCTGCTATTACTTTTTGACCAAGATAAAATCCACTGTTAGACTCCAACCATTCCTTTTCATTACTGTTTTCGCAGACCAATAAGTTTGTATTAATATCTCACGGCTAGAGTTCTGAAGTAAAAGCTATAGGATCTTTAGTGTATGAAAATGTATGTGTGTGTTTATGTGTACGTACATGTATTTTGTTGTGTTTTGGCCACAAGGTACCAAATTGGCTTAGTGAGTAGTCATCAATTAAATAATGAACCCCAATGGTTTTTAAGTTCATGTGACTTAAGTAAAATCTTTAATAATCTAGCTTTAAAATTATTGGTAAAGAACAGTAGAAATGGCTTAAGAATTTTCAGCATACATGTTTATTTTCATTTATTGATCAAGCAATTTCATACTTATCTCTGCCAAATACTATAAGGTGTCAAAATTTGGCATAAGGGATACAAAACTATAAACCCAGCCCAAAATACAATTATCTTTGCTTGCATAATTTTTGATAAATAAGAGGTTGATATTGATTCAATGAAAATAGCTAAATATTGAATTATTTAGTGAAATAGCCATAACTTCTAATCTATAGCTTTAGGCAGTCAAGTCCCCAGGCAGGAAGGGGGTTTGTTTTGTGAGGGACTGTTATCATCTCTTTCAAAACTAAACTATAAACTATGATACTCCCAAAGTTAATTCATCCAATGCCCGGAAATGAACAAGGGCAGCTTAGAGGTTAAAAGCAAAATGGAGTAGGTTGGGTCAGACCTTTTTCATTGTCCCAGTTATAATTTTGCAGTTATAGTTTCATAACTTAAAATGATGACTATTGCAGGTATCATAAATAATCTAGGTACACTATTAAAATAATTAGGTAAATGTAATGGGATAAATATTTGTAGACAAACTTGTCATAATTTAGAAACTAAAGTTAAATTAAATAATAGGTATTTCATCAATTGGGTATTTTCAAAAAAATTGTAAGAAAACATTCTTTCTAAAGTGTATCCTTTTTAAAAGGTGAATAATTGTTGTCTAATTCAAAGCTTCTTTAAGGGTTATGTATACAACAAGGAAAAAGAAACCAGGAAATAAGACAGATGTAAAGAAAGTTATATTAATATAATTAAAGAGGTATTTTTGGTAAGAAAGCTTAAAGAAAAATGACTTTATATGAGAAAGAAGCTTATATGGTAAATTTTGTCCTAGAATAAAATAACTGGTTGTTTTAAAAATGAGGGATGTTCAGGACAAACCAGAACTTCCAAGCAGTCATGAATGGTCAGTGTAAGTCATAATGAGAGGATCTATTAAAAAAAAGAAAAACTTTTATGTGACCAAGCTGTCTATAATTAGAGGGAAATTATAATGGTCTTTCTAGAGATTGAGTTTTGATTAAAAAACACACTTATACATGAAAGAATTGGTTCAAACCATGACATTTTCTTAAGGTATTGCTCTACTCTTAATAAATTACAAGACATTATAATTTTTTTAATGCAAAGTTTAACTTTTACTGCATCTTGCTGTTTTCAGCTTTCTCTCGTCTTTTAAAAGACCTGAAATCAAACTCTATCCTTTAACTCATTTTCAATTCCTATAAGTTTTTTTTCCTACAGTTTCTAACTGTTGTGGCCTGATGCAAAAAAAAAAGAAAAGAAAGGTTTTATCTTAGAGGTCTAAAGGAAATGTTTCCTTCCAACATAATATTCCCCATAGGGAACAGTAGTTGCACTGCAGAAGGTCTTTTATTTTGCCTTTGGGTAACTGGCCTAATAATTAGATCTTACACTTTATCAAAATAATTCCCACGTCATTATTACTAAGTTTGGTATGCTTAGAAAAAACTGAGATTAAAAAGTTTTCTTAAAATTAAGATTATTGCATCTGTGTAACTTTCTGTATGTGATTTTAAAGTCCTTGTGCCATTAAGTAAGTTATAGGGCTTTGACTCCTGGGTCTAAAAAGGACATCAAGTCCTTCTAAATCTTAACACTGACAGTAGTTAAAGCCTTATCTTTAGATCCAGTGGAAGATGCCAATCAAAATAAATTGGGTTCGTGAGACACAAGGCCAGAAATTAAAGATATTCAGCTCGTAAGGATCAGGGACTATCATGGAAGAGATGGGTGATATTGTAAGGGCCGATTTTGAAACATAAAATAGGTTCAATTTCCCTGTAAATTAACCACCAATGTCAAAGGCACACTGATGCAAGACCAGTATATGGGCCCCTATGTCATATTAACAAGGTTTTCTTGAAGCATTAACCCACTCCTTAATAAAGGTTATAAAGGTTGTAAAAGGCTTATGGAAATTATATTGTATGGTCAAGATGATTAAAATTTTATAGATTGTTTATAAAAGTTTGAAAAACAAATTTAATTGGCCTCATGCTGTTTTTATTAGGGATTATTGTTTGGAAAATTAAGTCTCCTCTCTCAAAGAATAACAGTTTTCACCTTGTTTTTGAAATCTTCAAATTATCACTTTGGTTAAATTAATGACTTATTTTACAATGACCTGTGACCCTATTTTGTGATATCAAGCGTTTTAAACCTTTCATATTTGAAAAACTTTCTAAAATCAAATTATAAATTATGTCTTTTTTCTGACCTAATTATTCCTTTAAGATATTAGGTTCCCTAAAGTCCAAAAATGACATATATGACTTATTTGATGTAAAAATCCTACAGGAAGTATTGTCAAATATGAAATGATGGTGTTTGGCTTTCTTTAGACTGTATTCATATAAATGTTATTGGTATGTGTTTTAAAATTGTGGGAAACTCCTATATTTCTGATATGACTTAGTGTATGTTATTAGTAATAATTATAACTGTTATGTTAAGTTATTATGTGCCACAGCAGTAACAAATTTTCTTGTCAGTTGTGTTTTTGACTGTGGGTGCACTAAAACTTTTTGTCATCCATGGACAATTGTTTTCTTGTTTTGGTCCTCTTTAGAAGGTGGTTTTATAATCAGCTTTTATAGCTCTAAAAGGTCTTCCTGAATGCAGAGTTCTGATAACTTTGGAGACTGTGACATTAGAATGGAGGAAAACTTTCAGGACTCTCATGGAGAGATGGAATATTCATGAATGTCAAGCAGAACAGGAGTTAACTGCATGGACCGAACTAATAGAAGACTGAAGCCCTATTTATTTTCCAATTCAAGATAAACCAAAATCAAGACCCAAATATAATCACAGACCAATGTAAAGAGAGATGTAAAGACCTAATACTTCAGAAGAGTGAAGTAATCATTTAAAAAAAGCTTAAAACATTGATAATTCTTTGTTTTCTTTTCCAGAGTCAAGAAAACTTTGCTTTTGACTTATTTACAGCTAGTCACAATTGAGTGAAGTATACTCCTGTAAACAAATTTGGATTTCTCTCTCTCAATCTGATTTCTCCAGAATGTGGAAACTATTTGTGAGTATTCTTAATTTATGGCAATATAGTTATTTGCATAAGTGCAATAAGAATGTTTTATTTTGCAACAGGACACTATTGGAGAAACTGGTTATTTTACTGGAATGGTGTGATTTCTTTTAAGGAATCAAACTTGACTTAAATAGAGCCAATAAAAACCCCTTGGGAACAATGGCCTCATACCTTGTCTACACAGTCCCTGTATAGGGTTCCTGACCTGTGATAAGTAAAGAATTTCACTTTCTGATAGGTCCAGGAGACCCAAATTATCTTGGGATCTCAAGAGGAGAGGAATTTACCCAGCTCAAAGGCATTTGATGGTACAAAGCCATGGCTGAGCTTGACTTTAAAAAAGTCTTATCTGAGATTCCTTCTATGAAACAAAGTTCCATAAAAAAGCCTATGTGAAAAATAATTATTCTTGCTGTACTTTATACAAACAGGCCAAGTATAATAAAGTAAATCAGTCCTACCGTGATTTGTTTTTAGTAAAAATAGGAACCTGAAGAGAGAAAAATTATGTTTCAAAAAGTATAGTACACCTGTCATTAGATTTTAGACTTGCTTAATGTTTTTCAACTTTTATTATTTTCTACAGTTGGACTGAATTCTAAAATTTTTCCTGGTGATAAGTCTCCAAAATAATGTGTTCAATTTTTTTCATCTTTATTTTTCTTTTTTCTCCTATTTTTCCTAATTGGAATAACTGAAAACTAAGCTGTGCTTTGTTAAAGCCCTGTGAACTAAAGGTAGACAACTTAAGCTTCAGAAGAAAATAACAGCAACCTATTTACATACATAAGCCACTTTCATAACTGCCTACTGATACATGGACTTCAGAGTAATATGGCCTGTATTGACTTTCTAGGATTGTTCTTTTTTGTTTGTTATTGTTTTTCTCCCTTCCTCCCCCTATTTTCTCTTCATAGGACATGAGACTTCACAACCTGCTAAAAATGAGCTTTTCTAATAATGTGGGACTTACCCTTCTACAAGTAAACCATCCTAGTCATGAGGGATCAGATGAAACCTGAGACCAGAGACTCATTTTCTTCTAAAATGATTTCTCCAAAGGATTTTAAAAAGAAAAAGGTTAAAATGTGAAAGGAAAATAAATCTTGGGACCCCCCAAATCTCTAAGCTAAAGGGAAAAGTCAAGATGGGAACTGCTTAGGGCAAACCTGCCTCCCATTCTTTTCAAAGTCATCCCTCTGCTCACTAAGATAAATGCATATCTTACTGTTTCCTTTGGAAAGGCTAATCAGAAACTCAGAAGAATGAAACCATTTGGTTTTTCTTTTATCTACCTATCACCTGGAAGCACCCTTCCCACTTCAAGTTGTCCTGCCTTTCTGGACTAAACCAATGTACATCTTACGTACATTGATTGATATCTCATGTCTCCATAAAATGTATAAAACCAAGCTGTGCCCCCACCCCCTTGGGCACATGTTGTCAGGACCAGGACCTTGTGAGGCTGCATCATGGGCACGTGTCCCTGACTTTGGCAAAATAAACTTTCTGAATTGACTGAGACCCGTCTTAGATATTTGGGGTTCATACCCGCTTGGTACTGTGTAGTGAATGAGTTCTCACAAGATCTGGTTGTTTAAAAGTGTATGGCACCACCTACCTGTCTCTCTTCTTCCTGCTCTGGCAATATAAGACATGCCTGCTTCTCCTTGGCCTTCCACCATGACTGTAAGTTTCCTGAGGCCTCTCCAGAAGCCAAGCAGATGCCAGAATCATGCTTCCTGCACAGCCTGTGGAACTGTGAGCCAATTAAACTTCTTTTATTTATAAATTACCCAGCCTCAGGTATTGCTTTATAGCAGTGCAAGAATAGACTAATATAAGTGTTACAGATATTGAGTAGGTAAAAATCAATAGGATTTAGCAGTTGGACCTAGAGACGCAGGAACTGGGGAGATTTTTTTAAAGAGGTGATTAGAAGAATAATATTGTCATCATGGAAATTAGAAAGTTAGGTTTATTGGTGAAAAGTTGGTGAATAATCTTCTAGATATTTTGAGTTTAATGTACTAATGAGGAACAAGTGGAGATCTCCATCATGCACTTGGAAATTTAGGACTGGAGCTGGGAGACAAGTGGGGCCAGAAATAAAGGTATGCTCCTTCTGCTCTCAACCCACCATGGCCGTTTAGTGGGATCAGTAGAATCCCTGCAAGTAAGTGTCTGGATTTAGCAAAATAGCATGGAAGAACAAACTGATGCCAGAACCTACGAACTGACAGCATTTAAGGGGTGGGAGGGAAAAAGAAAAAAGCAGATGTGAAAAGAGATCAGGAAACTTAGGCAAGTCAAATAAGAGAAAATTATTTCAAGTGTGAACTTCCGTATATAACGTCTATGATTTAGGCCCAGTTTATATCAAGAACTTAAGAAAGAAAATTGGAAAAATAAATAGGGCTTTATGTATTTTTAGGACTTATGATGATGATTATGATATAGAATGAAATAAAGTGTGGGTCAGGAGCAGTGGCTCACGCCTGTAATCCCAGCACTTTGGGAGGCTGAGGTGGTGGATCACAGGTCAAGAGATCTAAATCATCCTGGCCAGCATGGTGAAACCCATCTCTACTAAAAATACAAAAATTAGCTGGGCATGGTGGCACAGGCCTGTAGTCCCAGCTACTCGGGAGGCTGAGGCAGAAGAATCACTTGAACCCGGGAGGCAGAGCTTGCAGTGAGCTGAGATTGTGCCACTGCACTCCAGCCTGGCGACAGAGCGAGACTCCGTCTCAAAAAAAAAAAAAAAAAAGAAAAGAAAGTGTGGACAGCAAGTATTCTAACAATTGTAACTAAAGAAATGCATTAATAAATAAGCTTTTATATTTTCCTACAAATTCCTAATTTTTTCCTTTATCATATAAGTTATTTTCTTAATACTTGTCAATATTGTATGCCATAAAGCTTTTTTTCTAAAATAACAAAAATAGTGTTTTAAAAGTATATTTTATAATGCCAAGAGGCAAATGTGATGTAAGAGACTAAGAACAGGCTTATCCAGCAAATATAATTTCATCTGTAAAATGGGGATAATAATCTTTCTTATCAGCTTGTCTCAGAGAAGTGTTATGTGAGTTAACTGAAGGAATAAGACAGCATTTTGTGAATATAAAATCTATAGTAATGTATAATATAATTGATATTTAAGTACTTTTTGTGCTTCTGGTCTTATGCTGGAAAAATTGTTATTACTTTAAATAAGTAATAAATATCTGAATTTTGCTCTATGTTCAGGAAGCAAATTTTCTCATCTTTTTTACACTTACAAATTTTCTATAATTTTTCCTTCTGTGAGATGTTTGCATTTATCTTATTTTGGTCAATTCCTGCTCTGGCAAGTACATGCAAAATAAAATGTTAAGATCAACAAACAAACATTTTTGTTGGGTGTGTCCTCACTGTCTAAATGTGTTTAATTTTTTTCGGCCAGAATTATTTGTTTCAAACGCTTTTATGAAACATGCGTTTACTTCTGGACCATCTTAATAGCTCAAATATTCCTGTCTACATTTCCTTAGATCACCTTCTATTCAGTGATTCTTTCTTAAGAGTTCTTCTGTTGGCCAGAGTTTTTTCTGAGGTTTCAGTAGTTGCCTGGTAGGAATGCTTGTGAAAACATTCATGGATAGCCCAAACATTTTTTAATAACATTTGCTTGGAAAAAAAATTTTTACTGGCAGTCAGGACACATTATTTAAACATATTTCAAAATATTTATGCATCCTTGCAATACTTTGGCGGCGTCTTGTATGGTAAGGCTGAATTGATGATTTTCTAGTTACCTCTTTTTGTTTGTTTGTTTTTGGCCATTCATAATAGTTGATTGATGAGTGTTTGATAGAATTTCCACACTGTTGATAAACTCAATAATAAGGTGATTATAACAACCAGAGGTTTTTGAACTTTCTATATTCTCAGAGACTTGAACCGAAACTAATTAGATTAACTTTACTGTAATCTTGTCAGATGCTTGATTTTCAGTTGCTATTTTGATTCTTTTTTTTAGTATTTGCTTTTTCAAGAAATTTTCAACTTTTATCTTACATACGGGGGATACATGTGCAGATTTGTTATATGGTAATATTGTGTGATGCTGAGGTTTGGAGTACATATCCTGTCACCCTGGTAGTGGGCATAGTACCTGATAGGTAGTTTTTTAACCTCCCTGCCTACCCTCTAGTAGCACACAGCATCTATTGTTCCCATATTATGTCTGACTTATAAGTGAGAACATGTGGTATTTGGTTTTCTATTCCTGCATTTATTTGCTTAGGATGATGGCCTCCAGCTCTATCCATGTTGCTACAGAAGACATGATTTCATTCTTTTTTATGGCTTCATGGTATTTTATGATGTATATGCACCATGTTTTCTTCATCCAATCTACCACTGATGGGCAGCTGGGTTGATTCTGTGTCTCTGCTATTGGGAATAGCACAGCAATGAACAGATGAGTGCATGTGTCTTTTTGGTAGAATGATTTACTTTCTTTTGTGTATATACCCAGTAATAGGATTGTTGGGTCTAAGATAGCTCTGTTTTAAATTCTCTGAAAAATCTCCAGACTGCTTTCCAACCATCTCATACCAGTTGGAATGGCTATTGTTAAAAAGTCAAAAAACAACACATTCTGATGAAACAGAAGAGAGAAGGAAACACTTATATACTGTTGGTGGGAATGTAAGTTAATTTAGCTGTTGTCTCGCTTTTTCCTTTCTCTCCTTCCCAATGGTAATTCAGAAATTAATAGTTGTTAGTATCATTTTGGCATTAGTATTTGGTGACAGATGTAGCTTTAGTGATACCTGTGGTTCTCTATATAGGGCTTACACCTTATTTAAAGTTATTTTTCATATTCCATGACTATGTCTAAATAAAAAAGACAATAGATAAATTGTTAGTGCATGTATGTTGACTAGCCAAATCAAACTTTGTGCTTTTTTTTTTCGGGGGCGGGGGGGGGGGCCAGGGGGTGGGGGGGAGCGGTGAGTGATTTATTAATAGGGCTCATTTTTTTAGTATTTTTTTCCAGAATAAAGAGATAAATTTATGTCTGTGATTATATTTGGGTCTTGATTTTGGCTTATCTGATCTGCAGAGGAAGAGCAAGAAATATTACCTTAACTTTTGCTTCTGGGGGTGGTAATGCTACGTAATTTTAAAACCCTTAGTACATGTATCTTTAAAAACCATATTTTAAGAATTTTAATTTATGAAAGGTGTCTTCTCTCTGAGTTTTTTATCCCCATGTTGCTAAGTCTGTCTTTCTGAACATCTTTTCTTGCATGTCTCTCTTTGGTATTTTTTTCTTTGTGTGTTTGTGCTGTATTTAAAAAATGTGACTTTCTCTATAAAACTGTGTATACACATCTGACTATGTGTCATTTCC
This sequence comes from Homo sapiens, assembly GCF_000001405.40. Taxonomy (NCBI): domain Eukaryota; kingdom Metazoa; phylum Chordata; class Mammalia; order Primates; family Hominidae; genus Homo; species Homo sapiens. The sequence continues at coordinate 115,196,429 of NC_000003.12, forward strand.
TGTGTTCTTGTATGTGTGTTTTTTCATCTGTGCTCAATCTATTTTTATTTGGGTGTCTCTGTTTATTTTGATCTCTGTCTATGCCTTTATCAATGAATATTCCTGTGTGTCTTTGTGTCTGCCTCGCTGTCTTCCTGTGTAGATGTATATGTGTTTTGTGTTCTCTATTTCCGTGTCCATTTTGATGTATCCCTCTACTTATGTGACTTTGTTCTTCCCTCCCTATCTTTCACTATCTCTGTCTCATTATATATATACGTCTTTCTCAATTTTTATTTGATTTCAGTTCTCTATGTATGTCTTTCTTATTTTGTGTTTATAACATTGAAGTTAGTGTTATAGTTAGATAAAGGAAAAAATCCGATTACAACACAGATAACATTGTAGTGTTATAGTTACTAATTAAAATGTAAAGTTTCCCATTTTATGTATCAAAACATTATGTTGTACATCATAAATATATACAATTTCTACTTGTCAATTAAAAAATAAATAAGAAACAAGTCGTATTATTTCTGAGGGTTTTGTTCTGTTCCATCGGTCTCTATCTCTGTTTTGGTACCAGTACCATGCTGTTTTGGTTACTGTAGCCTTGTGGTATAGTTTGAAGTCAGGTAGCGTGATGCCTCCAGCTTTGTTCTTTTGGCTTAGGATTGACTTGGCAATGCGGGCTCTTTTTTGGTTCCATGTGAACTTCAAAGTAGTTTTTTCCAATTCGGTGAAGAAAGTCATTGGTAGCTTGATGGGGATGGCATTGAATCTATAAATTACCTTCAGCAGTATGGCCATTTTCACGATATTGATACTTCCTATCCATGAGCATGGAATGTTCTTCCATTTGTTTGTATCCTCTTTTATTTCGTTGAGCAGTGGTTTGTAGTTGTCCTTGAAGAGGTCCTTCACATCCCTTGTAAGTTGAATTCCTAGGTATTTTATTCTCTTTGAAGCAATTGTGAATGGGAGTTCTCTCATGATTTGGCTCTCTGTTTGTCTGTTGTTGGTGTATAAGAATGTTTGTGATTTTTGCACATTGATTTTGTATCCTGAGACTTTGCTGAAGTTGCTTATCAGCTTAAGGAGATTTTGGGCTGAGACGATGGGGTTTTCTAGATATGCAATCATGTCATCTGCAAACAAGGACAGTTTGACTTCCTCTTTTCCTAATTGAATACCCTTTATTTCTTTCTCCTGCCTCATTGCCCTGGCCAGAACTTCCAACACTATGTTGAATAGGAGTGGTGAGAGAGGGCATCCCTGTCTTGTGCCCGTTTTCAAAGGGAATGCTTCCATTTTTTGCCCATTCAGTATGATATTGGCTGTGGGTTTATCATAAATAGCTCTCATTATTTTGAGATACATCCCATCAATACCTAATTTATTGAGAGTTTTTAGCATGAAGGGCTGTTGAATTTTGTCAAAGGCCTTTTCTGCATCTATTGAGATAATCATGTGGTTTTTGTCCCTGGTTCTGTTTATATGCAGGATTATGTTTATTGATTTGTGTATGTTGAACCAGCCTTGCATCCCAGGGATGAAGCCCACTTGATCATGGTGGATAAGCTTTTTGATGTGCTGCTGGATTCGGTTTGCCAGTATTTTATTGAGGATTTTTGCATCAATGTTCATTGGGGATATTGGTCTAAAAATCTCTTTTTTTTTGTTGTGTCTCTGCCAGGCTTTGGTATCAGGATGATGCTGGCCTCATAAAATGAGTTAGGGAGGATTCCCTCTTTTTCAATTGATTGGAATAGTTTCAGAAGGAATGGTACCAGCTCCTCTTTGTACCTCTGGTAGAATTCGACTGTGAATCCATCTGGTCCTGGACTTTTTTTGGTTGGTAAGCTATTAATTATTGCCTCTATTTCAGAGCCTGTTATTGGTCTATTCAGAGATTCAACTTCTTCCTGGTTTAGTCTTGGGAGGGTGTATGTGTCGAGGAATTTATCCATTTCTTCTAGATTTTCTAGTTTTATTTGTGTAGAGGTGTTTATAGTATTCTCTGATGGTAGTTCGTATTTCTGTGGAATCGGTGGTGATATCCCCTTTATCATTTTTTTATTGTGTCTATTTGATACTTCTCTCTTTTCTTCTTTATTAATCTTGCTAGCGGTCTATCAATTTTGTTGATCTTTTCAAAAAACCAGCTCCTGGATTCATTGATTTTTTGAAGGGTTTTTTGTGTCTCTATCTCCTTCAGTTCTGCTCTGATCTTAGTGATTTCTTGCCTTCTGCTAGCTTTTGAATGCTTTTGCTCTTGCTTCTCTAGTTCTTTTAATTGTGATGTTAGGGTGTCAATTTTAGATCTTTCCTGCTTTCTCTTGTGGGCATTTAGTGCTATAAATTTCCCTCTACACACTGCTTTAAATGTGTCCCAGAGATTCTGGTATGTTGTGTCTTTGTTCTCGTTGGTTTCAAAGAACATCTTTATTTCTGCCTTCATTTCATTATGTACCCCGTAGTCATTCAGGAGCAGGTTGTTCAGTTTCCATGTAGTTGAGTGGTTTGAGTGAGTTTCTTAATCCTGAGTTCTAGTTTGATTGCACTGTGCTCTGAGGAATACTATGCAGCCATAAAAAATGATGAGTTCATGTCCTTTATAGGGACATGGATGAAGCTGGAAACCATCATTCTCAGCAAACTATTGCAAGGACAAAAAGCCAAACACTGCATGTTCTCACTCATACGTGGGAATTGAACAATGAGAACACTTGGACACAGGAAGGGGAACATCACACACCGGGGCCTGTTGTAGGGTGGGGGGACGGGGGAGGGATAGCATTAGAAGATATACCTAATGGAAATGACGAGTTAATGGGTGCAGCACACCAACATGACACATGTACACATATGTAACAAACCTGCACGTTGTGCACATGTATCCTAGAAGTTAAAGTATAATTAAAAATATATATATATAAAAAGAAATGCCAGCTCTGAAAAAAATGTAAAAATAAAGTTTTCTGTTTTATTTCATTAGAAACATGAATTAAAGATCATAAAAGGCAATTCATAGAAAAATTGTAAGTGCGGTAATAAATATTAAAAAACAGACATGGTCTTACTGAAAATTAAATACATGTGAGTAAAATAATGAAGTTACATTTGTTGACTATTAGATTGATAAAAATATATGTTGTGGGAAAATAGTGAGTTATACATTTTAATGGCATTGAACAACATTTCAAGAGGACAACATGTATCAAAACTTTTAACTATATATTAGCTTTGACTCAGCAGTTCTTCTTTAGGAATTTTCCCTCAAATAGCCAGATAATTCTACAACTGTTTATTTCAGAATTGCCTTAGTAGTATAAAATTGAAAGTAAATGTCCACCAACAGAGGATAAGTTAAATGAATTATGGTACATCCATATAATAGAATATTATAATCTATTGTTATAGAAAAATTATATGGTCTATTGATAAAGGAAAAAATCAGATTACGAAAAAGTATGTACAATGCATATATTGTGTATGCCATTTATTCATTCAAATAATGAGTATTTTCTACATGTACTATGTGGTAAGCATGCTAGAGCCACTATAGAGATATCCATATTGTTTTATATGTGGTGTAAGATAATGAAAGAACTTCCACCTTGTCTCTATTATGGAGTTAATAAGCAAGTATGATGAAAAATAATACGGTTGCATCAATTTTGGAAAGTTTTCTGTTCTTAAATTTTAAAGCAGATGTATTTTTTATTTTGAAATATTAAATTAAATTGATCACTTTTCGTAGTTTTCCTTTTCTTTTCCCCCCTCCCCCACATACGAGGGATCTGTGATGCTCTATGAAAATTGATTCCCCATCCTGACCAAGGCAATTTTCTCAGGTGTTCTGGAAATGTTATGTCTTGGTACATATTGTCTTAATGAGTTGTCAAGAAACAATATTTGTTCAAAGCCTTTGGAAAAATAGAAAAAAAATTAAGCCATGTACTTGTCAAAATGTCATTCCCATGTGAAGCTCAGAGAGTCTGAGCAAATACAACGTGAAACAATAAAGGTGAACGCTTTGCTCAGTTGTTGGAAATTGACGCTAATGTCAGTGGAAAACTAAACTTGAGAATGCAATGTTTAGTACAGTGATTCTATAACTTTAGTGTGCATAAGACTTACCAAAAGAACTATTTTTAAATGCAGATTCCTGGACCTCACCCCTGAGGTTTGAATTTGGTAGGTCTGGAATGGGCATAGAATCTATATTTTAATAAGCTTCCAAGGTGATTCTAATATAAGAGGTTTAAGGGCTACGTTTCACGAAATGGTGTTAATGGGTAATTATAATAGCTAATCTACTTTAAAATTTTGGCAGATTTCCCTTAAAGCATATCTACTAGATATATTTCTAGGAGGATTCTTTAGACAAGCTTATTTAAGAAATCATGGAAATTATGTAGGGGGATTATGAGTTCATAGGCAGGTCTGCATTCCATTTCAAGACCTATTGGTTTTCTGGACCACAATTCTGAGCCAAAATTTTAATGAGCTGCCAATGTTTACTTCCATCAAATAAAAATTGGCACTCCTTTTCCTCAAACAATGGCATTAATATTTATAGATGTTCTCTCATACTTATAATTTTATAATATTTGGTAGATAGTGTGAATTCCCAAGAACCTGGTCATAAAAGTGAGGAAAAGAATATGAAAAAAGAGTGCTGCAAATATAGAATTCTGATCAATGAAAGCAGCTATGTAGTATAAATAAAAGACTACTTTAGAGCAATTTGACATAATCAGACTATCAAATCTATGAATCTTAAGTGACTAAATGAATTACAATAAATCTGTCAGTCACCAGAGTAGGTTTGCCACAAAAGCAACTCTGAACTTCCTTGAAAAAAAGGTCATCAGAGGCACAAGAAGTCTATATGTTGCCATAGCATATTATTATAACCAAGGTATACATTAAGTAAACAATTTAACATTTTGTGATCATTTGATTTAAAACTGCTTATAATTCTGATTTAAATAACTTTATGGGAAGAAATCTAAACAGCCTTCCATAATGTAGTTGATTAATTGAGGCATGAAAATACCTGCTCAGTTCAGATAATCAGAGTGTTTTATGGCTGAAAAACCATTTAGTTATGAATTTCTCAAGCTTTGTTTTTCAATATATTTATTTATTTTTGAGACAGGGTCTTGCTCTTTCTGTCACTCAGGCTGGAGTGCAGTGGCACGATCTTGACTCATTGCAGCCTCCACCTCTTGGGCTTAAGCAATCCTCCTGCCTCAGTCTCCTGAGTATCTGGGACCACAGGCATAAACAACCATGCCTGGCTAATATTTCAATTATTTTGTAGAGACTGGGTGTTGCCATGTTGCCCAGGCTGGTTTTGAACTCCTGGGCTCAATTGATCGTTTTGCTTCAGTTTCCCAAAGTGCTGGGATTACAGGTGTGAGCCACTGCACCTGGCCGTGTTTCTTAAACTTTAATGTGCATATAAATCACTTGGGGGTGTTGTTAAAATGAAAATTCTGATTGATGGTCCAGAGTGTACAATCTGAGATTCTGCATTCTAAACAAGCTGTTGGTCCACCCAAGGACCACATATTGAGTAGCAAGGATTTATTTCTACTCCTTTGCTTAATAGATGAGGGACAGTCAGTGCTTCACCTGCTTTTTTAGGGCATCATCGTGACTTAGGCAGACTTGAAGTCATTGGAACTGAATATTATTAATGTCAGTTTCTCAAACTCTTACCACTAAGGTCTCTGGTGAGGCCTTGGTTGCTACCTTTCCTGAGTTGAGGTTTTCAACTTTTTATTTCATTCAGTGTGAGAACTGAAAGATTACTTTTAATAAATGTTATTTTTCTTTTTACCTTTTTTTTGGCCTGAGTTATTCAGACATGGTTTCTGTTGCTTGCAATCAACATAATATAACCTATACAGGGTATGTTTTGGGACTTACATGGCAAAGAAATATACCATAGTTGCATTACAAGGGAATAAATTCTTCTTTCCTCAGAACACAGCAGATAAATTTATTTCCTTAAAAGCTTACACAGATCCACTGGTGACTCACAAATGTCTTTCTCCAGCATGATCTTCTTCCTCATCTTCCTGGCTCTATCCAACTTCCAATTTGGCACTTCTATTTGAATATCTAATAGTCATCTCAGACTTAACATATCCCAAATCCAAAATTGAACCGTCCAAACTTGATGTTTCTATAGCAAATGGCACTCTTTTTACGCAGTTGCTCAGGTAAAAACCTAAGAATCATCCTTGATTTCTATTTTCCCCTCCCTAAATTCAATCCATTAGCAAATTCTATCAGTTCTGCCGTAAACATCTAGCACAAATCAACCACTTGCTATCTCAACTGCCTTGTCCTAGTCTAAACGATAGTCATGTCTGCCTTACACAACTACAAAAGCCTTCTAGTTCTACTTTTTGCTCCCACTCTAGTTTTTCCACATAGCAGCCCAAGAAATTCTTTTAAAATGTAAACAAGATCTTGTTACTTTTATGCTCAAAGCTGTTGAGTAGCTTCTTATCCCACTGAAAATAAAATCCAAACTCCCTACCATGATTTGCAGAGCTTATGTAATCATTGCTTTACTAAACCTCTTTACTTCTTGTAAAGAAATGTGCCATCTTTTGCTGCTCTCCCCTGGCACTCCCTGCTCCAGCTATGCTGGTCTCCCTCTTCAACTGGAATGAAAGTCCTAAGGGCAGAGATTTTTGTCTGTTTTACTTACTGTTGTATTCCTCCTACCTAGAATAATGCCTGTCACAAAGTAGATGTCAATTAATAATTCTTAAATGATTGAATGAAGAATGTGCAATCAATTAGGCACAGTAAATAGACAGACCCAGTCACTGGGACTCTGACAGGAAGTGGGGACTGGTCACTGGAGACAAGACCTAGGTTTTTACTGCTAACTGCTTATACTGCTAATCATTTATACCACTAATCATCCGTGTGTGGTATTACCTTTAATTTTGAAGTTCAAGATTTGTTCCCATAAACTTAGAACAAGGCTAGCAGTAAGGTAGATTGGGTAAAATGGCTGTCATCTAAGCTTCTCATTTTTCCCAACCAGAAGAATACAGTGTGTAAATGGCCTTCAAATGACCGTAGCTGGGAGTAGTAGAGAGATGCTAAGGCAGGCAGTGAAGCAGGTGATGTGTTGCTGTTACTGTACAGAGTTGCTATGGATAGTTTGTGTAGCTTTAGGAAGAAAATAAAGTAGATATCTTGCAATATATCGATTAACCAAATAAATTACTTGTTATTCATTCTTAAGCCTGTTCTGCCAGAAAGAAAATGGCACAAAATATTAACAAAAGCTTTGTATAAGGTAATTGTGGCTTGGAAATCTTATGACTGCAAATAATGACGTGACTGTGCTCACAAGGACAAAGGAATAAACAATAAGTAGAGATTTTAAAAATTACCCAACACACTTCTTCCACAGAAAGAAGGTTTTCCACTTTCTGTGGAACAGTGTCTATGATTATTCCTATTCTAAAGCCATTCAAGTGTCTTCTAGTTCCTTAGCCCTCATTTTCTTACAGATATATATTACTTAGTTCTTGCTTTTTCCCAGTCTTGTCCAAACACCAGCATCAACAATCTTTCTCCTATAGGTTAAATTCTACAACTCCCTAAACCAGTGGAAATCAAACTTGTCAGTACTTTAGTTGTTCAAATTTATAAGTGAATAGAGTCTGGAAATGGTCTGTGGCCTCCAGGCTGAGTTTTAGTGTCCTGGGCAAAGCCCTTTGCCACATGCTTCTGCAGTAAGGGGCAATCTGCCCAGTAATGTTCAACATATGTAACTAGTCCGTGTGCATGGTTTCTGCTTCCTGTCTGGTGTGCAATCTAACTTTCTACTGGGACCATAACCTCCTCATCATTGACCTAATACTCTAATCCTCTTTCCTTTTTTTTTTCTGTAAATCTACTTTCTCTGGGGACTGAACTTTCTTTCGGGCCACTTTCAAACTGGACTAACTTAATTGCAGACCAAAGTGTGCCCAACAAGAAGTATAGCTACTATCCAGAGACTCTTCCTATAGTGCTCTGACTTCTTAGGTAGAATCTCCTGAATATCAGCATAAGTCTGGACTAGGTTCAAATTTATACTCCTCTTTGAAGACCAGTCTTACTGCCAAGTTATCTCCCATAGCCCCAATTTTGCTGGTTCTGGCTAACTCTTCCATTCCTTTTTTCTACTATTGACAGCATAACATGTCTGAGTACAGAGTCCACATGTGTTGGGACACATTCCTGGAGGTCTGAAAGCAGGAAATAATAAGGATAGTTGTGAATGCCACTGTGTCATGGGGTTTAACTTGTTACAAAATTCTGTGTCCTGGGAAGAAGGCAGAACAATGATGGAAGTAAAAGTTACATATGGCTCTGCTGAGGACTCATGAGTCCAAGATATTTGCTGTTAGTTTCCTACAACTAGAACAGTCACAATAGAGTTGGATCTCCATTCTTAAATGTGTAGAATAGTAATGCTGATTTATGGAAGGGCTACAAATTCTGTAGTTGAAATAAAACCATTTTTTTCTCTTGGAGTTAAAAACTCTGGTATTCATAGATGGATGATTACTATTAATATCCAGTTTAGGATTAATAAAAAACTTTGAATCTAGTAAATTCTTTATGTCCTCTACTTATGACTTTTCTCTCGGAGATGATAGGAATGGAATCCTCTTCTAATGAACCCAGCCTGACTAATTTACTGCCAACATTAGCAAACATGAAATGATAAAGAGAGAGGGCAAGGATAAGGATAAGATTAGGCCTTTTTAAATTTTTTTTTATTTTTTATTTTTTGTAGAAACAGACTGCAGATTGAATTCCTACATAGGCTATTCCAGAATTCTTACGAGACTTGCATTAGGACATCAGCAACAGGTAAGTTTAATAACACAAATGAAAATAATTGGTTGATAAGACGTTACAGTATTCCTCAGGGGAGTTGCTTGGTTCAAGGGAATGAGCTTTTCCAATTTTGATAGAACAATTACAGTGTTCTCCGTAGAGGAAATGATATTTTAATACTGGATTTCAAGAAATCACTGTCATCAGGAAGTATCTGTCACTGCTCTTGAAAGAATTAAGAGCAGTTTTGAAGGTTATGTGTACTCTTTGGAATAAGAACAAGTGGCAGATGAGGAAAAGGAATCATATATTAGTGTATAATAGATTTTTTTCCACGATAGTTCCCACGGTTCTGATCAGATGACTATGACCAACACTTTGTTACAAGACAGAAATGATGGAAATATGTAATCTGGTTACTGACCAGAAGAGTACCTATCCCTAGAATATTGTATTTATATAGATTGAATAATAAAATTTTATGGTATTTAGGTCAAAAGGTACACTATACTATGACTAAGATTTTCTCCCTCCGTTATCAGAAAGTAGACATGAGCACAAAAAGAATGATACTCTATCAAGCTACATGGCCTTCGATGGTCAAAAAATGTTTTTAAGAAATGTGTTCTTCCATTCATGTATTTATTCATTCAAGAAGTAGAGTACCTAATACTAGAAACTGTGTAAGGCACTATACACAGAGGAAAACAAAATGGTTCCTGACAGTTTACTGATTGTAATCTAGTGGTGCATTGAACACACAATAAAAGATTAATAATTATAATAATTAAAACTGTGACTAGTGCTATGAGGTTCAAGACAATAGAGGCTATTTGAAAGGCAATGTGATGCTCTTAACTTGATTTTTTGAGTAGAGGGAGCCAATGAAAACCTCTTTGAAGAAAAAATAGTTATTTAAGTGAAGACCTAAGGGATACAGATGTTAACAGGACAAAGAGAAGGCAGCATAAGGAATTCAGGCAGAAAGATCAGCCTAGATGAAAGCTCTGAGGTGGAGAGAGAAGTTAGTGTGTTTGGGGAACTGAAGGTTCATATAGTTAGGACAGAGAGTTAGGGTGATAATGGCTCTAAATACCGTTGCAGAGGTAGGCAGGGACCCTATCTTTGCAGAGCCTTGTGGTTGTGGTAAGAAGTTTATGTTTTAAGCATAATTGAAAGCTAAAAAAGAAAGTCTGATATGTGCATGAGGAATCATATAGACATTATCTTTCTACCACAGGTGGTACCAAAAATAAAAAGCAGATTAATTTTAAATGGGATGATTTTATTGAATTGTAGACTAAAGAACTACATAGACCAATGCTCCATATTGTATCCTGCCTTTTCTTGGCTTCCTTCTAGGAGACTCATTATTTTTTGGCTACATAGTAAGTATTTTCCAAATATACATATTTGTAGTTCATATATATATATATATACACACACACACACACGTATTTATATATATATGTATATATATGTGTGTATATATATATATATGTGTGTATATATATATATGTGTGTGTGTATATATATATATATATATATATATATATATATATATATATATATATGTTTTTCCAAATAACATTTGGCTCAGCTGAGAGCTCTGTGCAAGGTTACATTCTGGGGGAAACTTTTAGTCATTAAGGCTAGATTGACAATTGAGCAATCCATCATTAGTTGGTGAATTTGTTTCGGATATGTCGAATTTGAAGCCATTACAGGACATCTATATTGAATTGTTCTAGGTTGTTATGGAGGAAAACACATATTCAGGATACAAATGAAACTATTATTGTTCATAAGGCTGGCATTGTAGCAAGGAAGGAATGGGGTATTCATAGCCAAACCTGGGTACTATCATTTCCTGGTCCCTTAGAACATCACACTTACATTTTTTTTAATATACAAAAGTATATCCTAAAACTTCTCTGAGAATTGCTTTGTGACTGGAGGCAGGAAAGGCCTACTGACCCATATTTAGGTGGGAAATAGGAAAACAAGTGACAACAAGGAAGGGGAAAATGAATTTGTTATGGGTGAACAAAGTTCAAAAGTCTTTTTGAAAAGACTTTTAGCAAACATTCAAAAGTGGTCACATATAAATAATAAATATTTTGTTTATATAAAGGGTTACAGTAGTTTCCTAGGAGAGTAAAATATTAAAGATAATTTTTAGCTGTGATTTAAATTTTTAGAACATGTGACATGAAGATCTAATGACCATGGAAGGACTGATTTCCTCATTAGTAGTCATTTTGGAAATTTGAGTCTGGAATACAGCAAGAGAGGTCAGAGATAGAGATGCAGACTGGAGAATTATTATTACAGAGATGATGATTAAAATCATGTCCATCAATTGATAAGCTGATTCAAGAAAAGAGTGATGATCAATGGTTCTCAGTTTAGGCTACCATTAGGATCACCTGGATAGTTTTTGAAAACCACTGAGGCAGCCCCACCCAAAAGATTCTGCTTTAGTTGATCTCAAGGACTGGGCATCCATTTTTTAAATTATTCTCCAGGTAATCATAATAAGCAGTCAGTGTTGAAAACCTTAGTACAGATAGAGATGGGCTAACAATGGAGTCCAAGGAAGAGTAGCAGTGATGTAGAATCTGTTAGGCAAAATGTTGGCCTTCATGGTCTTCACCTCCTCGGGTTACTCCTATGAATATGTCAAAAGGTCTTTAAAGATGTCATTTAGGTTGCTAATCAGCTGATTTTAAAATAGGGAGCTTCTCTGGATTGTCTAGGTGGACCTAATCTACTCATGTAAGCCCTGGGAAGCAGAGCTCATTTTCTGCCTGATGGTAAAAGAGGAGTCAGATATTTGAAGCCTAAGAAGGATTAGAACTGTCCTCCTTGACTTAGAGATTAAGTGGATCGTATGTCAAAGAAACAGGAAAATGAGTTCCTACAATCACAAGGAACTGAATTCTATCAACACTGTAATGGATTTGGAAGCAGAATCTTCCCCAGAGCCCCAGATAAGAGCCCAGCTGACACCCTGATTCCTGCCTTGTGAGGCCCTTCGCAGAGGATCCAGCTGAGCCATTCTATTCCCAGACTTCTGACCCACTCACTGTGAGATACTAACTGGGTGTTTAACCTTCTAAGTTTGTGATAATTTGTTATGGCAGCAAGAGAAAACTAACACACAGAAAGAAAACCATAAGAGCCTAGTATCACAAAAGCCAAGGCAGAAAGAAAAGTTGTACTTTGTACTTTCAGTTAAGAAGTCATTTACTTTTTTTTTTTTTAAATGAGACAAGGTCTCATTCTGTCACCCAGACCATAGAGCAGTGGTGTGATCACGCCTCACTGCTGCCTCCACCTCCTGGTTTCAAGCAATCTTCCCATTCTCAGCATCCCAAGTAGCTGGGACTACAGGCATGCATGCACCATCATGCCCTGCTAATTTTTTATTTTTTGTACAGACAAGGTCTCACTATGTTGTCCAGGTTGGTCTCAAACTCCTGGGACCAAGCAATCCTTTTGCCTTGGCCTCCCAATGTGCTGGGATTACAGGAGTGAGCCACCATGTTCCACCATCATTGCCTTTTGATAAAGTAGTTCCTCCTTCTTAATGAGTAAGGTACTTAGGACTAGGGCTTCTTCTAGTCGCCATATGGCTTATACAGCTTGCATTTAAAGTACAATGTCCAGCAAACTTAGCCTGACATTACTCATTTCTTATATATAGCATTTATCTTTTCCAATACATTTAAATATTTTCAGTTGAGTACCGAGTCTTTTCTCAATCAAAAGTAGCACTATCAGTTCTAATAAGAGGAGTTTTGAATGGATTTTGCTATGCAGGTAAGGTCCAAAGGTAGGAGTTGGAACTGAATCTGGCAATAGAGGGCAGGAAAACATAGATAAGAGTAGAGGCAAATCTTCTGTGGGAGTCGGGATGGGAAGCAAATGAAGACTATGCAAGTGGGAGCAAAGCCCTGTGGCAGAAAAGAGTATGCAAAGGCCCGCATGTGCTAGAAGGCAGGGAATCCACCCACCTTTTACCCAGTTGAGGCTAGTAGGTGTGTTCTGGGGTCTCAAAGGAATGACAGGGAGAACAGCAATGTCTAAAAGCGATTGAAGAAGGGTTGACTTCTGGGAGAGTAGCTGGGATGCCAGTGGAGGGATGAATGTAACTGCAAGTTAATACCGAGGGAGACAGTATTAACAGAGAGGTAAGCAGCCAGTAACAGGAGAGGCCAGGACATGAAGCTGCATGGCCCATATCCACAAATGGCAAATTTAATGATGTTAGTTGTTCAGAAGCTACTTTTGAGCCTCTCTCGGGGAGAATTGAAAAGAGCCTCTTCCATGGGATGATGTTAATAAGGGCCTGATACAGAAAACAGTTTTTGGTTGCTGCCATGACCTTAAGTTTTTTTTTTAAATATCTTTTCAGATCAATGGAGCCTGGGGCAGCATCTGTTATGTAGTAATACTTTTTTCTAAATCCATCTCCAAATTGTTCATTGTTTGGTGGTTAATTCAGGCTTTCACTATTTCTCCAAGTGCCATAGTTAGTGCTTAAATAGGCTTTCACCTTCTTTGCATATTTAGGATAAAGCTTTTTTTGGTTTAGACTGCAGAAAAAATGGAGGCTTCTTTCCATCCCTTCATTTCGGATGCCAAGACAGCATGTGATATTTCTAGCTCTTTTATGTTAAAATTCTAGTTCATTTTGTGTATTTTTCTGTTATTATCACCCTCTTGCTCAAAACAGATCATTATATTATAGACATAAGTTAAAATATATGAACTTCTGTTAACTTGGTTTCTGGAGAATAAGCATGGAAACAATCTCCTTTCTTTATTTGAAGGTTTCTTTGTGGAGTACTTCATTTGGAACCTTGGTTTGTACTGCAGCAGCTGGCTTAAACACATATTCCTTAGTCTCACCTCCCTCTTTATTTTGATGGCCACTGACTTACTTCAAGCCTTCTTATTTTTTGATGGGACTACTAAAATACTTTACCCATCTCTGGGCCCAATCACACTCATAACTCACACCCTACACCATAGGTAAGAATGGCTGTTTATACACACAAATCCAATTATGTCATCTTTGTTCACTTCAATGGCTTAACATTGCTGATAAGATAATGTTCAAATGCCTCTGGGATAGAGAACCAGAACTTTAGTGACCTCTATCTACCTATCCATCCTCATCTTCTTGCCTCTTCTAAATAAATTCTGCACTTAAGCAATACTAAACTACTTGCCTGGCCTCTGTGCTATTTCTTTTTTTCTTCCCCTCTATTGCTGGCTCACCCTGTCTCTGTGCTCCAAAGCACTGTAATCATACTTCTATTGTAGTGCTCAGTCATGTGGACAGCTACAATGTAATGTGTCTTCAAGTAGATAGTGAACTTCTGGAGGTCTGGAATTATATTTAGTTATCTTTTTATTATTAAATGAACAATTCAATCTCTAACTAAAATTAATGATGATTTGGTATATGTCTCATGCTGTTCATGTTTCTTTTCCCTTTTAAAATGTGCATGTTTACTTTCATACAATAAGTGTATCATCATCCAGATATAGGCATTACCTGGGTAGTGTAAGAGCTTCTTACAAATGCAGAATCTCAGGCTCTTAGACCTAATAAATCAGAATCTGCATTTAAAAAAACCCCAAGGTGATTCATATTTCCAATACAGTTTGAGAAGTGTGGATCTAGGAACTATTTCATCTAATAGTTCTAATTGCATTCAGGATAGTCAGAAACCCCTTACCAGTGTCTCACATGTGTACTTTGGTGGAGTATACAGCTTTAGGAGCTCATAAGCTTTTCTCACCAGCCCCAAAATCCTTGCTTTACATGACAAAGTTAATTTCTCTGAAAACAATCTTTATCATTTGTTAAAGCAACTTCTGCACCTGAATTGGGTAGTATTCATATGGTGGATTATCCAAAGTAAGCTTAAAACAACCACTCTCAGACTGTGAATTAGGCCAGCTCATCCCACCCCTGATTTTTCCTGTGGACAGTTCTAACATTTGCATTGGACTTTCAGCCTTCCCCAGATGAAGATAACTGCGTTTTTGTTACCTATTCTTCTCTACAAGGACACTTATCTTGGGCTGCTTCTCTTTATTACTTTTATTGTCTTTGAAAGCTAACTCTAATTTCCCATTTTCTCCTCTGTCTCATATTTCTTCTTTGCAATTATATTCATCCATCACTCTGTCTATAACATAGTCTAATCTTAGTTCTACTCAGCTCTTGTCTCAATAATATTAATGAGATAAGTATGAAAGGCTGCATATCAACAATTTCATAGTCTTTTGTTTCTTTAGTTCTATTCAATCATCCCAGAGTCTTGAAAAGTGCATAGAATCTTTACATATCTTCCAACACCTTTTATGTATGTCTTTTCATATATGCATTATTACTAAATATTTAAGTATAGGCATCAATATATTTTCTGGAGTTGTGCCCATCTATCTCTAACAGTGTTCCTCCTTGCTTTGAAGTCTTAATTATTCTCTAAAAGCAGATTTATACTTAAGGTCTAATCTCCTGTTGTTCTGACTAGCTTTTTTCTGCTTAAACTATTCCAGATTTTTCTTAAATAGCATCATCTCCAATTCATTTTTAATAGCAATTGGTTTGTATTGTTCTACTTTGCTTCTGCAAATGTAATAACTGACGTCCTTCCTTCTAATATATACTCTCCATGCTGTACCTTTCAACACAGGCCAACCCATTTTTGTTTGCTCTTACTGCCATAATTTTCATTCAGTGTGTCAGAGGATGTGTCCTGTTAGCAGAGCTAACAGGCCACAAAGGACTTAGGGTCTCCTTCGAGTCCTTATTCTTTAAAAACTTCGTGGTCCCACAGCACAGTGTGGTAAAGCAAGGTAAAAGGAAGGCAAGGAACAAAACAGGAAATTATACTATTACAGGAAATTGTTGTAATAAAGTGAAAAGCCAAGGAAGCAAGTGTCCAGCAAGTCATAAAATTCTAATCATGCAGCTGGGACAAATTGAACCTCTACTCACCAGCTGGCAGAGTTTTGTATTGTTCTTTTTGTCTTTATTTACATCTAAGTGCATACCTTTGTAACTTGAAGGCCACCTGGTCATTTTACAGTTGTGGTAATGAAGATGCAAAAAGATTTAGTGACATTCTTAAGTTTTCACCGTAGTGACTGGCTGAATCAGGTCTAAAATATGGATCTTCTGACTCTGAGAGCAGGACATTTTCTCTAAGAATTGAAATTTCTTAAAGATCAACAGTTGTCAGACCCTGCCTTTATTAAATTTTAATGTGGCAAATCTTCCTCACAAGACTTTACAAGGCCATTTTACAGATAAGAAATCTGAGGCTGAGGGAGGCAAACATTAAGTTCATCATTGTGAAAGTGCTCTCTTTTATCCCAGAAGTTAGGTTCACATGCATGAAATTACTTTCCAAAGTAAGCATTAATGTATTAGGCACCTGAGAGGGGCAGAAAGAGGAACATACTTCTTTTCAAGGAGAATAGGAGCCCTGTAGTTGCTACAGCAACTGGGAACTGATGTAAGGCATTCCTGCTAGAACATTTTCACATATTGAAGGTGTCTTCCTGTCTGACCAGAAGCTGAAAGAGTTTGGTTAGCTTTGTTAATTAAAGCAGAGGTATCTAAAATGGGAAGTATGCACCCCAGGAAATATGCAATTCAGTCTTCTAGGTTGCCTGTTCTCTGTCCCCTACACTGAAAAAAATATTGTGTAATTTTTTTTTTTTTTTAAACAGAGCCTTGCTCTGTCACCCAGGTTGGAGGGCAGTGGTGCCATCTCGGCTCACTGCAACCTCTGCTTCCTGGGTTCAAGTGATTCTCGTGCCTCAGCCTCTCGAGTAGCTGGGACTACAGGCATGTGTCACCATGCCTGGCTAATTTTTCTATTTTTAGTAGAGGCGGGGTTTCACCATGTTGGCCAGATTGGTCTCAGATTGGTCTCAGACTCCTGACCTCACGTGATCCGCCTGTCTCGGCCTCCCTAAGTGCTAGGATTACAGGTGTGAGCCACTGCGCCTGGCCCACATTTTTAAAGAAGTATAATATACACAGACAAGTGCATGTAAGTATATAGCTTAATAAGTTTTCACAAACTGAGCATACCTGTGCAGCCAACATCAAGATCAAGAAATAAAACCTTAGTAGCATTATAGAAGTCATTCTTGTTCTTCTTTTTAATCAATATTCTCAAAGTTAATCACTATCCTGACTCCTAACTCCACACAGGCATACTTTGTTTTATCACACTTCACTTTATCACACATCACAGGTAATGTGTTTTTTACAAATTGAAGGTTTGTGGCAACCCTACATAGAGCAAGTCTATTGGCACCATTTTTCTAACAACATGTGCTGTGCTCACTTTTTGTCTCTATGTCACACTTTGGAAATTCTGGCAATATTTCTAACTTTTCCGTTATTATATCTATTATGGTGATCTGTGATCAGTGATCTTTGATGTTATTAGGTTAGAGCAAAAGTAATTATGGTTTCACCATTATTTTTAATGTCAAGAACCCAATTACGTTTGCACCAAGCTAACACTATTGTAATTGTTTTGAGGCACCACAAATTATGTCCATATCAGACGGCAAGCTTAATTAATAAATGTTGTGTGTGTTCTGACTGCTCCACCAACAGGTCATTCCTGTCTCTCTCCCTCTCTTCAAGACTTCCTATTCCCTGATACACAACAATGTTGAAATTAGATCAATAATAACCCTACAATGTCTACAATGGCCTCTAAGTGTCAAACCAAAAAAAAAAAAGGAAGGAAGAGTTGTACAACTCTGATTTTAAATCAAATCCTAGAAATGATTAGACTTAGTGAGAGAGTCATGCTGAAAGCTGAGAGAAGCCCAAAGGTAGGCCTCTTGAGCCAAACAGTTAACAAAGATGTGCAAAGAAAATTATTTGAAGGAATTAAAAGTGCTACACCAGTGAACACACAAATGATTAAAAAAAAAAAAAAAAAAGAAAGGAGTGAAACAGCCTTATTGCTGATATGGAGAAAGTTTGAGTGGTCTGTATCAAAGATCAAACTAGCCATAACATTCCTGTAAGCCAAAGCATAATCTAGAGCAAGGCCCTGGATTCAATTCTGTGAAGGTTGAGAGAGGTGAAGAAGCTGCAGAAAAATGTTTGAAACTAACGGGAGTTGGTTCATGAAATTTAAGGAAAGAAGCTGTCCCCATAACGTAAAAGTACAAGGTGAAGCAGAAAGTGCTGTTGAAGAAGCTACAGCATGTTACCCAGAATATCTAGCTAAGCTAATTAATGATGGTGGCTACACTAAATAACAGATTTTCAATGTAGATGAAACAGACTTATAGTGGAAGAGCCATCTAGGATTTCATAACTAGAGAGGAGAAATTAATGCCTGGCTTCGAAGCTTCAAAGAACAGGCTGACTCTCTGGTTAGAGGCTAATGCAACTGATGACTTTAAGTTGAAGTCAGTGTTCATTTATTGTGCTGAAAATCCTAAGACCCTTAATAATTATGCCAGATCTACTAAGTCTGTGCTCTACAAATGGAACAACAAAGCCTGGATGATGGCACATCTGTCTATAGCATGGTTTACTGAGTATTTTAAGCATACCATTGAAACCTACTATTCAGGAAAAAAAATTCTTTTAAAATATTACTGCTCATTGACAATGCACCTATCTCAGACCCAAGAGCCCTGATGGAGATGTAGAAGGAGATTAATGTTCTTTTAATGCTGGCTAAAACAGCATGCTTTCTGCAGCCCATGGATAAAGTAGTGATTTTGACTTTCAAGTCTTATTATCTGAGAAATACAGTTTTAAGGATATCACTACCACAGATAGTGATTCCACTGATGGATCTGGATGAACTACATTGAAAACCTTCTGGGAAGGATTTACCATTCTAGATGTCATTAAGAACCTTCATGATTCATGGGAAGAGGTCAAAATATCAACGTTAACAGGAGTTTGGAAGAAGTTGATTCCTGTCCTCGTGGATGACTTTGAGGAGTTCAAGACTTCAGTGGATGAAGCAGCTGCAGATGTGGCAGAAACAGCAATAGAAATAGAATTAAAAGTAGAATCTGAAGATATTTCAGCCAGATTTGCTGCAATCTCGTGATCAAACTTGCATGTATGAGCAGTTGCTTCTTATGGATGAGCAGAGAAAGTGGTTTCTTCAGATAAAATCTAATGGTGATGATGCTATGAACATTGTTGAAATGACAACAGAAGACTTAGAATATTACATCAACTTAGTTAATCAAGAAGTGGTAGGGTTTTAAAGGATTAACTCCAATTTTCAAAGAAGTTCTACTGTGGGTAAAATGCTGTCAAACCTTATCTCATGGTGCAGAGAAATCTTTTGTGAAAGGAAGAATTAATGTGGCAAGTGTCATTGTTGTCTTTTCTTTATTATTATACTTTAAGTTCTAGGGTACATGTTCACAACGTGCAGGTTTGTTACACAGGTATACATGTGCCATGTTGGTTTGCTGCACCCATCAACTTGTCATTTACATTAGGTATTTCTCCTAATGCTATCCCTCCCCCAGCTCCCTACCCCCTGACAGGCCCTGGTGTGTGATGTTCCCCTCCCTGGGTCCATGTGTTCTCATTGATCAATTCCCACTTATGAGTGAAAACAAGGGGTGTTTGGTTTTCTGTTCTTGTGATGGTTTGCTGAGAATCATGGTTTCCAGCTTCATCCTTTTAATCACAAATGATTAAAAATTCATTTGTGATTAAATCCCTACAAAGGACATGAATTCATCCTTTTTTATGGCTGCATAGTATTCCATGTTGTGTATGTGCCATATTTTCTTAATCCAGTCCATCATTGATGGACATTTGGGTTGGTTCCAAGTCTTTGCTGTTGTGAGTAGTGCTGCAATAAACATACCTGTGCATGTGTCTTTATAGTAGCATGATTTATAATCTTTTGGGTATACCCAGTAATGGGATCACTGGGTCAAATGGTATTTCTAGTTCTAGATCCTTGAGGAATCACCACACTGTCTTCTACAATGTTTGAACTAATTTACACTCCCATCACTGTTGTCTTATTTTAAGAAATTACCACAGCCACCCCAACCCTCAACAACCACCACCCTGATCAGTCAGCAGCCATTAGCATCAGGACAAGATCCCCCACCAGCAAAAGGATTACAACTCAGATGATTACTAGCATTTTTTAGTTAAGGTTTTTAGATGTAATTCCATTACACACTTAATGGGCTGTAGTATAGTGTAAACTAAACTGTTTTTTTTTTTTTTTTTTGAGATGGGGTCTCACTCTGCTACCCAGCCTGGAGTGTGGTGGCATGATCTTTGCTCACAGCAACCTTTGCCTCCTAGGCTCATGCCATCCTCCCACCTTAGCCTCCAGCGTAGCCAGGACCACAAGTGCACACCACCATGCCCGGCTAATTTTTGTATTTTTTGTAGAGACAGGGTTTTGTTATATTGCTCAGTCTGGTCTTGAATTCCTGGGCTCAAGCAATCTGCTCACCTTGGCCTCCCAAAATTCTGGTAATACGGGAGTGAGCCACCATGCCCGGCAGTGTAAACATGACTTTTATATGCACTGGGAAACAAAAAAATTCATGTGATTGCTTTATTGTGATATTCATCTTATTGCAATATTTTATTTATTATGGTGGTCTGGAATTAAACCCACAATATTTCTGAGGTATGCCTATGCATTAGTTTTGCTTGTTTTTGAGTGTTATGTCAATGGAATCATACAGTATGTTCTCTTTTGTGCCTAGTTTATTTCACTCAATGTTATGTCTTTACATAGTGTGACAAAGTTTTTTTCCTCTTGTTTAATTTTTATGTTTTAACTTCTATAACAGTTCAGTAATAGATGCATATAATTTATAAATAAGCCAGGGATGTGTGCATAAAAGTTTGCAGTTCTTGGGTTAAAGTATGGCACCATTTGTGTGAATGTCAACTTTAAATCCCAGATAGACTCATTAGCTTTTTAAAGAGAGAACTACTCACAACTACAGACTATGATGACCTCATCTAGGTATTTGTATTTAATAAACATTTATTTATGAGAACCCACTATGCACAAGTGTTTGTAGGCACTGTGAGAGTTACACAGGCAAAATAAAAAGATGTAGCTCGGTCTTTCAAGGAGTCTATCACTGGTGGGAGAAACAGTGCAGTAAACTCATATGATCACTCCAGACAGAATTGAGAATCTACAAAAGAGACACAACTAAAATGATATAGAAGCCTGGATGAAGGATGACCAATCTTCCAAGAAGCTAGAAAAGGCCCCTCGAGACTTGTACTAGATAAACTTTGAGCCCCTTTATACTTTCTAGCTTCCAATATTTAATCAGATTTCTCATTACAGACATAGGATCTTTATTCTCACTGTGCATTGCTTTATGTTTCAGGTTTATGGATACACGGTATATATTGTGCTCAGTCAAAAGGGGGCAGCATTCACCCTTCTTCTGAAAATCAGAGACCACTTTGGCCACATCTCTTTCTTTCTAGGAAAAGAATACTTTTACCAGATAGCGTTTCAGAACATAGATATAAATTTTAAGCCTCTTGTTTTAATTGTTTGTTTATAGAGATAGCAACTGATTTGCACCTTCATGTCACAGAGCCCAACATATTGCACAGGTATAAATGAAGTCAAGCTGTCTCTGTGCCCAGTTTCCCTTATTTCTGCCTTTGTCCCTTGATTGGGCGTGGCAGTCTTGCTCAGACTCAGATTGCTAAAGGGCGGTGGCTGAAATGAACAAAAGGAATCAGACCTTTACTCTTAGCCTGAGAAAAAGATTGCCAAGGGAAGCTTGGGGAGAAAGCGCAATGCTGAGTGGTTGCATCATTGTTTTGACTACCTAATGCTTTTTTTCTCTTCTGACTGTTTATCCTTTTTAAGCTTCTGTTTATAAGCATAACAATTATATGAAAGGTAAATAAGTTACATGCACTACAGGGATGTATGACTGTGCTCTGTCTTGGCGGCATTCATCTCTTTATTAGCCAAGTAACCTTTACAGTTTAAGTACTACACAGTTGCTGCAGTCCTTTTCTTGCTGACGCAGTAGTAGAGGCAGTGGTGGTGAAAACTGAGAGAGGTTTAATGCTGAAGGTCTCAGACTGTGTATCTCTATGTCTATGACCTCTAACCACCAGACCAGCAGATAACTGATTTCATTTTGTTAGTGAAACACTGATTTTAATTGCTGACTTATACAGCTTCCATGTTATACTTGATTGGTTTTGAGAAAATCAATGTTGATGGCCAAAATTCCAAATTAACTATTTCTTTCTAGATTTAATCATACTGTATACAGCCCTAAATTGCCCTCTAAGCGACTTAAAAAAAAATTGAAGAGTAGAGCTTTACCAAATGTCTCTGAATGATAAAGGAAGTTGACCCACCCTATAATTAGCTTTTGTAAATATCAAGTCAAAGGTCAGAGCAAAGGTCATCTGTTTTCTTTCTTTTGTGAAGAAAACAAGGGATTGTAGTCACTATGACTGATTTCAGAATAGTAGCTAAAGATGAAGTCATTGCTTTCTTTCAAAGCAGAAATTGTAAAATTAAATAATTTGGAATAATCACAGAAATAATTACATTAATATGAATAGCAAATAGCAGGTGATAATTTGTGTAGCATTTACAGATACTGTGACCCTTGGTTTTAGACCTTGTGCAGTGTTTTTCTCTGTCAGGTACATGATGCTGGGAGAGCAGCTCTCTAGGAGACCTCTGATGACATCATGTCACTGTCCTCTGAGGCCACAACACAGCTGCCATGCCACACACAGGCTCAAAACACACAGTGGGGCATAGCCAAAAAGTTCACAAAGTAAAGAAATGTCAACTTTCTACGTTTTAGCATTCATTTGCCTGCATTAACCAACATTGTGCAATATATAAAGTCTAAAGCCCATGTGAGAGATAAGACAGAATTATTTGCATTTCTGCTGAAATTAAGCATGATGAAGTAGAAACTTATTACTTTTAAAACCAAAAAATGAATCTAAATATGTGTGTATCAATCAAATGATGAGTTAGGACTTCCTCATGAACTGGAGAGGAAAATTAGATGACCAACTATCCTGGGTTGCTAGGGACTGAGAAGGTCTCCAGGATGTGACATTTTCAGTTTTAAAATCAAGGCTATCTTAGGCAAACTGCAACAAGTTGGTCACCCTAACTGGAAGAGATCTTTTTGGCTATGCTGTCCAATTATCTTATTTTGCAGCTGAAGAAAATAAAGATTATGGAAATCATAAGATCCCAGCAGGATTATTTTTCTCCCTAATTCTTGTCAATGTCTTTTCTTTTCCTAGCTTCTCAGGTCATGTATTAAACTTAGACCACAGGATCATGCAAATGGCCCCTATTAGGTGGGCCAGGGGGTGAGCACCTAGAGTGCTCCTAGAGTGGAGGGATGGCTCCAAGAGTGGCTGTCCTTCTTATATCTGAAGGTGACTTGGCTGACTGTGGGAATGCCTGGCTATCTTCCAGGAGAGCCGAGAATGCCTCTATCAATAGTTTGAACACTGTTCTGCAACTTTCTGAGTGACACTGCAAAGTACCAAAGATAGAAAGAAGGCACAGAGGGGGAAAATGGGCATCTCAGTCTGCTCTGGCAGCTATAACAAAATACCGTATACTGGGTGGCTTATACACAACAGAAATTTATTCCTCACAGTTCTGAGGCTGAGAAGTTCAGATCAGGGCATCTGCTGACTCAGGTGAGGGTCCCCATGCCGGTTCATGGATGGCACCTTCTACATGTCCTCAAGTGGTGGAAGGAACTAGCTAGCTCTCTGGGACCTCTGTTATAAGGGCTCTGCCCTCATGTCCTAATCACCTCCCAATGGTCCCACCTCCTAATGTCATCAACTTAGGAGTTAGGTTTTAACTTATGAATTTTGGGGGTCACAAATGTGCAGATCATAGCAACGTTCAGATCATAGCAACTGGGTTCTGAGACTTGAGCAATGTCAGGGATTCACAGCATTTCAAATGTGTGGGCAAGTTGCTGACACCTTTTCTTCTGGGTCATAAGGAAAACAGAAAATGTGATTAAATAATTCAGCCTGATTTTGGGGTTTTATTTGTAATGACTCCTAGAAGGATTTGCCTTTCCAAATAAGGACCATGGAAAGTAATAAGTACATAAATGAATGAAGAGGCTGAGTGAGAGGTATTTTATAGCTGCGTGTGTTGGGGTGGGTGGGGCACTGAAGGGAGAGTTAGATGGTGATGTACTATATAGACTGCTTTGTGTTGGGGTGGGTGGGGCACTGAAGGGAGAGTTAGATGGTGATGTACTATATAGACTGCTTTCAGTGTTTTCCTCAAAACCCTGGAACATTTCCTCAAAACACATGATGCTAGGAGAGCAGCTCTCTAGGAGACCTCTGATGACATC